>NW_019805497.1:0-150818 GCF_000001405.40 Homo sapiens | reverse complement strand
ATGGTTATACCAGAATTTATGCATGCCCTTTATAGTTAATTAATGCTTAGATTATTTCCAGTGTTTGATTTTATAAATAATGCTGTTTTGAACATCTTTGTACATATTTCCTGGGTGTCTTTGTGTGTGCATTAATATACATGTAAAGGTGTAGCTGGGTCTGGAAAAGGCTCATCTTCATCATTATGAGAAAGTGCCAAAATTTGACAAAGTATTTTTACCAATTAACCTGAACCAGTAGTTGTACTTTCTTGGAAACACTTAAAGTACAATATTTTCAACTTTAGCCAAACATAAATGTATGGTGGTATCTTAAAGGACATTTTTTCCAACTTATTAATAATGAGACAAGCATCTGATCATATGTTTGATGGTGATTAAAATTTTATTTCCCCTACTGATTTCTATTACTGTTATGTAAATGTTCTTTGTACAGTGTTGATACAAATGTCTATCAGTTACAAATAATTTAGCTCACTCCGTAGTTTGTTTTTTTAGAGTCTCATCCATTGATGAAAAAGTTCTTAATTGCAGTATCATACTTTGTATATTACTTAGTGATTTTTGTTTTCTTTATTCTGTTTCAAAAATCATTCTCCAGTGAAATGTTCTTGTATGTCATCTTTCAGAAGTTTGTTTTTCGTTTTATTTTGTTTTGTTTTTACTTTCATATTTGTAATCCAATAAGAATCCTTTTTAGGTATGTGGCAAGAGGTATAGGTAATAGTTTACTCTTTTTTACATATGATTAATTAACCCAGCAAAACTTTTTGAACAGTTCATCTCTTTTACTACTGCTCTGCTGTGCCGCCTTTACCATGAATAGCATTTCCATGTAACCAATGTGGTGGAAATGGAGATGTGTCATTAAGATTTTCCCTTCAAGGACTGTTGCTACAGAGCACTATACAATCTCTGTCAGTTGTATCAGGTTACAATTAGCTTCAGCTGCAGATAGCCACCTTACATAATAGGATACATTACCAGGTTGTTTCACAAGCAATGAGTGATTGTCATGTTGATATAAAGACCTGACCATTTCACTTCACCACAGGACAGTATTTATATTTTTCAGAGCTCCCCATGGGATTGGCAAGATAATGTTGGGCCTGCATCATAGTTTGAAATCTCCATCTACCCAATCCTGTTTCCACCTCCTTCCTTCTACAGATATTGATTCCTGTAAATATCCTGTATGCCAAGCATGTCTCAATGTCTGCTTCCACAAAGCCCAACCTGAGACAATTCGTACCATTAGTGGTTTGAAAAAGCATTCAAAATCTCCTGTGACATTGATTCTAACTAAGACAGAAGAAGAGAAGCGAGATTTACTTTATTTCCCAAAACAAAAACGAACAGACAAAATGCATGGAACAACAGTTCACAAGACAATGGACATTAGGCAATAAATGACAGTGATCTCTGAGAGATAAGACACAAATGAGATAAGTAATACAATAACCCTAGCTTACAGCCTAGAGAAAGTTTCAAGTTTACAACACAGAGGAACTTAGGCACGGTAGTGGAACGGTCTTCCTGAGTCAAAGAGATAGAGCTGGAGTTCCAAGGAGGCCAAGGTAGATAGAATTTGCAAGGCAGAGTACTGAAAGATAGAGGGCTGCACAGAGTAAGAATTCCAGGGACCTACAGAGTCCCACTTGAGGAGGTGCTGCGTACTGAGCAGCACATGAATCTGAGAAAACTAATCAAAGATGGGAAAAGCATCATCCGAAAAGATTAGAGAAAACCCAAGAGATCATACAACGTGACAATATTTTGGTTCCCATCTGTCAGAGTTAACCTTACAATCCATGAGACGTGAGCTAGAGTACTCTGAAGGTTTTTGTCTCATTAGAAGGCAAAAATACCCACAGATTAACTGTTGCTCTTGTTCTCCTTTTCCCTAAAAAAGCTTAAAAGGTATATCCAAATAATAAAATGTTTAAGTAATTTAACTGCAAGGCAGAACAGATACTCAGCACCCACCAGGTAAAATTCACAATGTTAGGAAGTAAAATTTTAAATAGGTATGTAGAGAAGAAGGAAAATGTGTTCAATAATGAGAAAAAAAATCAAACAACTTAAATTAAACCAGAGATAGCACAGATAATATAATAGGCTAAGACATTAAAAGAGTTACTATAGCTCTTTTATAGCACTATACCACTTGTTCAAAAAACTAAATCAAAGATAAACATGTTAATTAGACACATATACTTTTTAAAAACTTCTACAGTCGAAGACTACGATGTAAAATATTGCATGAGATTAATGATGAATTAGACATGGTAGAATAAAAGACTAATAATTAGTATCAACAGAAATCATTGAAAATAAAACAGAGGGAAAAACAAACAAAAAAAAGTAGTGGACAGAACATCAGTAGCAGTGGGAGAACTTCAAAATCCTGATATATACAATACTGGAGACCTCAAAGGAAATGGAAAACCAGAAAAGATGTTTGAAAAAACAATGGCCAACTTTTTTCCAAATGTGATTAAAACTATAAACATGAAGATCCAAGTATCTCAATCAACCTTGAGCACAAGAAATATGAAGAAAACTACAGCAAGTTTTGTACATCATAATCAAGTTTCTCAAAGCCAGTAATAAAAATAAAATCTTAAAAGCAGCAAAAAAAAAAAAAAAGACACAGTACAAAAAAAAAAAAAAAAGACACAGAGATAAGGAAAACTACCTATTTCTTGTCTAAATGCAAACCAGAAGAGAGTGAGGCAACATTTTTAAAATAATAAAGGAAAAACGTGATAGCCTAGAATTATATACCCTGTGGAAATTCAAAAAGACTGGCAAAATAAAGAACTTTTAAGATATAAAAAAGCTGGGGCCGGGCATGGTGGCTCATACCTGTAATTCCAGCAATTTGTGAGGCTGAGGTGGGAGAATTGCTTGGCCCAGATGTTTGAGTCCAGCCTGGGCAACATGGCAAAAACCCATCTCAAAAAAAAAAAAAAAAAAAAGCCAGGCGTGGTGGTGCATGCCTGTAGTCCTAGTACTTGGGAGGCTGAGCGGGGTGGGTCATCTGAGCCTGGAGACAGAGGTGGCAGTTAGCCAGGATTGCATCACTGCACTCCAGCCTGAGAAATAGACAGAGTGAGACCCTGTCTCAAAAAAGAAAAAAGATATAAAAAAGCTGAAAGATTCTTTCACCATAGAAGATTACTATGAGAAATGTTGAATTAGGTACGGAAAGCAGAAGGAAAATGATATCACATGAAATCCACCACTGATACCCTTTCTTCCAGTTGATCGAATCAGCTACTGAGGCTTGTGCATTCGTCACGTAGTTCTTGTGCCGTGGTTTTCAGCTCCATCAGGTCCTTTAAGGACTTCTCAGCATTGGTTATTCTAGTTAGCCATTCGTCTAATTTTTTTTCAAGGTTTTTAACTTCTCTGCCATGGGTTCGAACTTCCTCCTTTAGCTCGGAGTAGTTTGATCGTCTGAAGCCTTCTTCTCTCAACTCATCAAAGTCATTCTCTGTCCAGCTTTGTTCCCTTGCTGGTGAGGAGCTGCGTTCCTTTGGAGGAGGAGAGGCGCTCTGATTTTTAGAGTTTCCAGTTTTTCTGCTCTGTTTTTCCCCCATCTTTGTGGTTTTATCTACCTTTGGTCTTCGATGATGGTGATGTACAGATGGCGTTTTGGTGTGGATGTCCTTTCTGTTTGTTAGTTTTCCTTGTAACAGTCAGGACCCTCAGCTGCAGGTCTGTTGGAGTTTGCTGGAGGTCCACTCCAGACTCTGTTTGCCTGAGTATCAGCAAGGCAGGCTGCAGAACAGCGAATATTGGTGAACAGCAAATGTTGCTGCCTGATCGCTCCTCTGGAAGTTTTGTCTCAGAGGAGTACCCGGCCGTGTGAGGTGTCAGTCTGCCACTACTGGGGGGTGCCTCCCAGTTAGGCTACTCAGGGGTCAGGGACCCACTTGAGGAGGCAGTCTGTCCGTTCTCAGATCTCCAGCTGCGTGCTAGGAGAACCACTACTCTCTTCAAAGCTGTCAGACAGGGACATTTAAGTCTGCAGTTTTCTGCTGCCTTTTGTTTGGCTATGCCCTGCCCCCAGAGGTGGAGTCTACAGAGGCAGGCAGGCCTCCTTGAGCTGCGGTGGGCTCCACCCAGTTCGAGCTTCCCAGCCACTTTGTTTACCTACTCAAGCCTGGGCAATGGCGGGTGCCCCTCCCCCAGCCTCGCTGCCGCCTTGCAGTTTGATCTCAGACTGCTGTGCTAGCAATGTGCGAGGCTCCGTGGGCGTAGGAGCATCTGAGCAAGGCACAGGATATGATCTCCTGGTGTGCTGTTTGCTAAGACCATTGGAAAAGCTCAGTATTAGAGTGTGAGTGACCAGATTTTCCAGGTGCCGTCTGTCACCTTTCTCTGACTATGAAAGGGGATTCCCTGACCCCCTGTGCTTCCCAGGTGAGGCGATGCCTCGTCCTGCTTTGGCTCACGCTTGGTGCACTGCACCCACTGTCCTGCACCCTCTGTCCTACACTCCCCAGTGAACCCGGTACCTCAGTTGGAAATGCAGAAATCACCCGTCTTCTGCGTCGCTCACGCTGGGAGCTGTAGACTGGAGCTGTTCCTATTCCGCCAACAACAACATGGCACATGTATACATCTTTAACAAACCTGCACGTTGTGCACATGTACCGTAAAACTTAAAGTATAATTAAAAAAAAAAAATCCATACAGGAAAATAAATGAAACACAAAAAGACAAATACTGCATTAACTCACATGTGGAATCGTAAATAGTTGAACTCAGAAGCAGTAAGTAGAATGGACTGGGGTAAGAGAAATGGCAAAATGTTGATCAAGCAGTGTAAAGTTTCATATATGTAAGATTTATAAATTCTTGGGATGTAATGTACAGGATGGTGGCTATAGTTAATAATATTGTGTACTTGAAATTTGCTAAGAAAAGTATAAATTGTTATCACAAAAAATGGTAACTATGTAAGGTTATAGATATATTAAGTCGATGGTGGTAAATATTTACATTTTAAATGTATATTAAAACATTATGTTGTACATTTTAAATATATACAATTTTTATTTGTCAATTATACCTCAATAAAGGTGGGAAAAAATGCCCTCAAAGAAAAATTCAGGCCCAGAGGGCTTCACTGTGGAATGAAAACAAAACTTTTCAGAAAAATATATATTTTTTTCACAACGTCTTTTAAAATTAAAGATGAGGGAATACTTTCCAACTCATTCTATATGTCCACTATTACCCTGTTAGGAAAACAAAAAAAAAGACACTAATAAGAAAAAAAAATTACAGATCAATATCCCTCATGGCCATAAATTCTATAATTCTTCAGAACATGTTACAAATCTAATTCAACTATAAGTGGAAAAGGCAATATATCATGATCATGTGGAGTTTATCCTAGGAATGTAAGGTAGGCACAACATTCAAAATTTAATCAATATAATTCACCATACTAACAACTTAGAAAAGCAAATTCATATGATCATTTCAATATATGCAGAAAAAAGCATTTAACAAAATTCAATCCTGTTTCATGATAAAGTCTCTCAGCAAACTAGAACTAGAGAAAAATTCTTCAACTTATTAAGGAGTAACTCCTGAAAAACCTACAGTAAACATGATATTTAATGGTAAAAGACTGAGTGCTTTTCCTAAGATCAGTAACAAAGCAAGCATAGCAGACCACTTCTATTCAACATATAGGTGGAGATTCCAGTCAATGAAATATAGCAAGAAAAGAAATAAAAGACTATATTGGAAAGAAAGAAGTTAAACTGTCTCTATTCTCAGATGACATGATTATCTATTCAAAAAATCCAATGGAGTCTATAAAAAGTAACTGCCCTAATGAGTGAGTTTAGGTTTCAGGATAAAAATACAAAAATCAATTGTATTGCTATATACAAGCAACAAACAATTGGAAACAGAAATTTCCTGAAGTCCTAGCTGTTCAGGAGGCTATTTAAGTACAGCCTGGGCAACACAGCAAGACCTTGTCTCTAAATTATTTTTTAATTTAAAAAAATTATATCTTTATAATCACATTCAAAGTTTTGGAATATTCAAGAATAAAGCTTACAAAAGATACGCAAAACTTATAAACTGAAAACTTTAAAATGCTAAGAGTAATTGAAGACCACTGAAGTAAGTTTAGAGATACACCATGTTATAGGTGGGAAGTCTTAATATCGTTATGTCAATTCTTCCCAAACTGATTCAAGATTCAACACAACGGCAGTCAAATCTCAGCAGGCTTTTTGTGAACAATCAACACATAAGATTTCGGTGACCAAATATGGGGATTTCTCCCAACCACCAAGCAAGCAAGCAGTTCTACGAGGAGATTCTAAAATCCACATGAAAAGGCAAGTGAACCTAGAATAGGCAAAACAACTTGATAAAGAAGAATGATTTTTAAGGGCTAACACCTGATTCAAAATTTATTATTACTTCATGTCTATCAGAAAGGCTAAAATTTTTAAGGATATAAAATGCTGGCAAGGATTTGGAGAAAATAAAGTTCCAACATATTGCTGATGGGAATATAAATGGTCCAGTATTATGGAAAACAGTATAGTACTTTCTTAATTAAACATGTAATTCACCATACCAACTTACCATATAACTAACTTATGATATGACCCAGCAATTATACAATTTCATTTATATTCAAGAGAAATGAAAATTTATGTTCCACAAAAAAAGCTGTATATGAGTTAAGTCTTTTTAAAATCTTGTTTCTGATTTTTTTTTTTTTTTTTTTTTTGACGGAGTCTGGCTCTGTCGCCCAGGCTGGAGTGCGGTGGCACGATCTTAGCTCACTGCAAGCTCCACCTCCAGGGTTCACGTCATCCTCCTGCGTCAGCCGCCCGAGTGGCTGGGACTACAGGTGCCCACCACCACGCCCGGCTAATTTTTTTTGCAATTTTAGTACAGACGGGGTTTCACCGTGTTGGCCAGTATGGTCTCGATCTCCTGACCTCGTGATCCGCCCACCTTGGCCTCCCAAAGTGCTGGGATTACAGGCGTGAGCCACCACGCCCAGCCTCTGATTCTTAAGTTCTGTTATGTAATTTCTGTTACTCTAATTCTGATTTGTGCTGTTCTTTTGTGTCTTGAATCATTTTCTTAAAGTTTTTCAGCCCATTTTAAAACATTCTATTAAAGTTGTGTTTATTTCTTGAATATGCCTTTCCAGTTATTCTGTAGGATTATTATTCTACTTCTTATTCACACTTTTTTCTCATGGTAGATTCATATGAGATTTGATCTTAATATCTTGTATCTCTCATTTTCATGTGAAATTATTCTTTCTGGGCTATGTGAAGAGATTCTGATTTAGATAGCTTTTTTTTTTTAATAACTTAATAGTTTCCCTTCATCCATTTTTTTTGTGTGTGTTGTTAAAAAAAATTGAGTTTGTTTTCTGAGATTCTCCAGTTCTCTCTCTAGCGCTTTTATCCGGCCCATCTTCTTTTTGCTCTGTCATCCTTATTGTGATTCCACTCCAAGCAGTTCCTCGTTAGATCTGAGCCCTGCCCTGGGAGGAATGCCTGTTGGTTCAGTTTGAAAGTTAATAGGAAATAACCAGTTTCAGCTCCCTGAGGCCTTACTATGGGTCCCTTGCACTCAGCCACTTTTACAGTGAACTAAACCCATCAGTTGTGTTACATTAGCGCTTTTGTTTTGCTTTTGTAAATATCATCCATAGGCTTTGGTTTTGGTAACTACCCTGTTCCCATGCAGTGATTTGGAAAGATCCAAAATCTATACTTCCACGGATGTTACCATATTTCCCAAATCCAAACCCAAACTTTCATTTTTGATGTTTTTTTTCATTTGATCACTTTAAAGATGTCATTCTATTGTTTTGTGGCTTCCATTGTTCTACTGAAAGCTATGTGAGTTTAGACGTAGCTTAAAACTTTAAAAACAAAAACTGTTTTTCGTCTACTCTCATACTGCAACAATCAACACATAAGATTTCAGTGACCAAATATGGGGGTTTCTCGCAACCACCAAGCAAGCCATCAGCTCTATAGCAGACACCACCTGAGTGCCCTCCAATTCAATTCTAACATTGTCTGTCAGCAGCATCAGATCCCACAGAGACCTGCTTCAAATTTAGCTTCCTACAGCACCCTTTTTGGGTTTGATTAATTTTCTAGCATGGCCCACAGAACTCAGAGAAACACTTGTTACCTTTACCAGTTTATTGGGCAAAGAAAACAGATGAAGAGATGCACAGGGTGAGGTATGGGAGAAGGGGAGGAGCTTCGACGAGTGTGTCACTCTCTAGGATCCTCCACGTATTCAGTTATCTGGAAGCTCTCCAAACCCAGTTCTTTTGGGGTTTTATGGAAACTTCATTACATAGGCATGATTGATGAAGCTATTGGCTTTTCATGATTGACTTAACCTTCAACCCCTCTATCCTATCTGGAAGTTGGAGATGGGGCTGAAAGTCCCAATCCTCTTAATCATGTCTTGTTTTCTTCTATGACCAGCCTTCATCCTGAAGCTACCTAGGGGCTACTAGCCATCAGTAAACTTGTTAGTATACAAAACAACATCACTTTGGAGATTCCAAAGATTTTAAGAATTATATGCCAGGAAACAGAGACAAAAGCCAAGTATATAATTTACACAATAAATTTTTTCTTGATCCTTCTTCTAGCAGGACTTTGAATTGCAAGCACTGTGAGACTGAGGGAGATCTTCACTCTACCTTTCCGGTGTAGCTCCCATATTCTTGTGCCACCCTTTCACTTAAAAAATGTCCCTTAGAGAAAATTCAATGTGTGTTGTGAGACAAAGTTGCAAATGTAAGAAGCCGTGTTTGTTCATTTCTGCTTGCCAGCAAAATTTCACAAAGCCCTGACTTTGTAATGATATGCAGCTCTCCAGAAGGATGATTTGAAGATAAAACAAGGATACAGCACATGGACACCACATCTCTTGCCTGAGTCACTACATTCCTTAAAAGATAAATGACCCTAGTCCTTGCCTTTTCCTACACATAAGACAACTTCTGACACGGTTAGTGATTATGCCTCTGTAATCCACAACCAGATATACTCTTGCACCTAAACGGTGATATGATTTTGCTTTAATGTAACTTCTGAGCATATACTTGTAGCTGGCTGAAGTGCGGCTGCTTGCTGCTCAGAGGCCGAAAACTCAAGAAGTGAGGTGTGGTGAGAGGAAGGCAGTTTTATATATCAAATGCTACCAACTGGGAAATGGCCAGACTCATATCTTTAAAAGACCATTTTAGGTCTTCGGCTGAGGGGAGGGATTTAAAAGTAGAGGCTTGGCATGAAAAATACACAGAAGTAGTACAGGATGCAGGTCTGCATGTCTTGCTGCAAATGCTATCTTGAATTATTGTCCACCTGGAGTTCCAGCTGGTACTATGTCAGTTGTAGCCAGGTTGCAGATAACCCATCTTGAGGTAATTTCCAAGTGGAAGAGAATCCCACAACTGGGCTTCCATGCTTGGCTTGTTGTAAAATAAGTCCCTGGAATTTTTAAACAAGCATACAGTTAGATAAGCGTGCGTATTTTAAGGGAGTGTCTGGTGGGAAAGAGAGGAGAGTTTCAAAGTACATTTCAAGGCTATATTTTAAGACTAAGAAAAAAATGTTTCTACAGTCTATTTCAGGGTTACATCTTAACAGTAGAGAGAAAGGAGAAAAAAGTTTTAAAATGAATTTCATACATACTGAACTTTCACAACCTGTATATAAGTAATGAACTGAAACACTGTTTTGGAGCAGGCTGATAGAATCTCCCCAAAAGACTCCTTTCAGGCTATAATCATCTACAGTCCTCAGTAAGGCTTGTGAATAAAACTAACTTTAATTCTTTAAAAGCTTTATTTTTCTTTCTTTAGTCAACAATGTCTTTGGTTTCTCTGGATTTCAGTTTGTCATGCCAGCCCGTGCAGCAGTTTTTAGAAAGCTCACTTTGTTTGTTTATTCATTTAGCTAAACTTAGTAGAGCTTTTCTATCTATGGCAAGCTCAGTCTTAATCCAGTGACCTCAAAGAGGAAAGACTGATTAACAATTCAACTAGGAAGAATTCTTGTCTTTAAAATTTTAGTTGATATATAAGCTTCTTTGCTTCTACACCTATGCAATGTCTTTAAAAATATAATCTTATGATGTATTTCTTTTTATAGTTGTTGAAATAGAAGAAAAAATAGCTTGCCACTACCTACTATATTTTAATACAAAATAAAATTCTCTATGATCCTATCTTGCTTCTTTTTTTTGGAGTGGATCATTCTACTTAATCTGTCAAAGGCTAAGGGGTGTTCTAATATAACCCATTATTATTGTATTTCTATCTGTGTTATATATTTATACACATTTTTGGCTCATTTTGAATATTATATTATTGAGTATATAACGTTTAATGAGACGGTAAAACATTTTTATCTTGGCTACTGATAGTATAATGCTGCTCTTTTCAGGCTTCCATTGTCAATTGCTACATACTCTGTCTTTTCTCTACAGCTTCTGCAAGGTCTCTTTTGCTTTCGCTACTTTACAATTTTAAAAATATTGTAATTTTTTTCTTTCTGCTTGAGATTCATTGAGATTCCTGACTCTGTACTTACTCATCTATCATTTCTGGAAAATTCTTACCAATTATCTTCTTACATACTATCTCTATTTTACTCTGCCCTGTTCCTTCTCTGATTACACAAATATCTGACTTTCTTAATCTCCTCTTGTATTTACCTTTTTTCTGTATTTTCAATTTCTTTTTCTCTCTCTTTTGCATTCTATGTATTTTTTTCAGTTCTATATTCCAGTTCAAAAATCCTTCTTTTGGGTGGGTCTATCAGCTATTAAGCTTATTCATAAACTTTTAACTATATATATTTTTATTTCTGGCTGTTTCTGATTCTTTTTCTTTTTCATTTTTGAAGTTTGTTGTTCTTACTTACGTTGTCAGTCCTTTTTATTTCTTTAAATCTATTGTATTTGATAAATTTCAACCCTTTAGCAGTTTAATTCCACTATTGTTTTGTTAGCTTTCATTCATGGTATTTTATACTTTTTTTTTTTTTCATTGAGAGCTCACATTTCCTGCAACTTTATCTATTGGTATCTTTTGAGGCCTAGCTTGAAGTAGGTGCATGTAGAGAGAATGTATATTGCTTTTATCAGGCAATTTAAAAAGAGCACTTCACACTAAATTTTTACTTTAGAGTTTTAAAAATATTCTTAACAATCTCTAGAGTGTGAATCTTGACTACCAACCTGAGTAAAGGTTGGCTTTTTTCCTTCTTTACTTATACCTGAGATGTGAAGCAAGCAATGCTCCTGGTAGTCTTCTATAGAGGATGAAGGAAAAGAAAGAGAAAGAGCAATGTAGGTTTATATTTCATTTTTATAGCAGGGATATAGCCCTTTGCTTTCCCAGCTTAATAAAGGAAGGGAGGGCAAATTTTCTCAACAGTTCCACCTCAGACAGATCCAGGAATGTTTCTCTTTTCTCTTGCTCTTGGTGACAACTTGAGCACAAGATCATTTCAAGATGACAGCCATCCTCAATGTTTCAGCTTTGGAGCTAAAGATTGCTCTTTCTCATAGTTTTTGTCCCCTGAGTATTTCTGATGTTCTTGCATTGGTGAATGTATAAAAAGTTTTAAAGAATTGTATCCCATGTTTTAAATTGTTTTCCATGGGACAGTTGATCAGGGTACCTAGTCTGCAAAAGTACTGAATGCAGAAGCTAGCAACATATATGACATGACAGTTTTGAAAAAGTCCACAAGTATCCAAAGAGGAAACACTGATAACCTATAAACAAAATTTACTCTGGCTTCCAGCTTCTCTTTTGCAATACCAAACATCCGAAAATAGCAGTTATACCTAAAGAAGAATTTTGACAGAAAGTGATTTTGACCCAAAATTTGATGTCCAGGTAAGTTGTCATTCAAAAGAGACACCTTAGAACTAAAAGAATTCAGAAACAACATCACTCTAAAGTTAAGAAACTGATATGAGTAAATTATGGTATGTTGACAGCGGTTATTAAAGCAAATTAAACATATGACTAAGTAGAAATATTGCAGATATGGTCACAAAACTGAATATAAATTACAAAAATTATTTCCAAAGGGGATATATAACATGAAAGCTATTAGTTTAATATTAATAATGTGATTTCAATTCTCCTCATTAATAAAATCTAAAAAGAGGAAAGAGCTATCAGGAGAAATATAACATGAATTTCTATTAATTAACCTGTAACTGGGAAACCAGTATTATATGCATTAATTAAATTTAATCCTCATGGAAACTCAAACAGGTATTAATTTTCTCTTGCTCCTGTACTAAATTACCTAAATTATAGTGGCTTGAAAACAGACAAATGTATTATTTTACAACTCTGTATGTCAGAAGTCCAACACAGGTCTCACTAGGCTAAAACAAATGTGTCAAAAGGACTATGTTCCTTTTTGGAAGTTAGAGAGGAAAGTGTGTTTCCTTCCCTTTCTAGCTTCTAGAGGCTACCCACCATTATTGGCTTGTAAACTGCTTTCTCCATATTCAAAGTGAGCAACAGTGAGTCGAGTCCTTCTCACATCACATCACCCTAACCTCTTCTTGTATAGCCTCTCCTACTTTTTAGGAAGCTTGAGATTACATTGAGCCCATTTGGATGTCCAGGAAAATCTCTATTTTAATGTCTACTAATTAGCAATCTTAATTCTATCTGCAACCTTACATCCCCTTTGCCATGTAACATAATATTCAGAGTTCTAGGAATTAAGGTATACAAATTCTTGGGTAAACCTTATTCTACACATCACATCTGGCCCTCTGGCTGCCAGATTAATGTTACTCCAAATGTTTGCTCCATCTCAAGGTCCTCAAAATTTCTGAACCCATTATAGCATCAATTCAAATCCTCAGATCTCATCCAAATCTCATCATCTAAATAATCTAAATTAGGTGTGGGTGAGATTCTGGATATGATCTACCTGGTAGCACAATTTTCTTTATCTATGGACCAATAAAACTAAAGAAGTAGACAATATTGAATTCATTTTACAAATAAGACATCGAAAGTAAAATACCTTTCCTAAAACCACATCCTTATTAAGTGTTGGAGAGTCTAATCTGTTTTCAACTCAGAAGTTCATAATATTTTTAATCATTTCACTATCTAGAGAACACAACCTCCTAAATTCTTCATTTTACAACTGGGGAGTTTAGAGGGTATTAATTCACCAGGAAATAAATAAATCAGATATTGGAAAAGGCTTTAAATATTTATATCACTCAGAAGTAGTTTAAGTCAAGGACAGATATGGATAAGACCAAACTGATGGAAACCATTTTCAGTTGCTTTGGAGAACCTTATGATACTGGTATTGTGGTAGGCTAAATAATGCCTCACCCTCACAAGATGCCCACATACTAATACTTGAAATCTATAAATATTATACTTAGTTTTGGAAGTATAATTTTGCAAAATAGACTAGTTGATGATCTTATTCTTTTATGACTTTGACTGTGTCATCCTATTTCTGTTTGGACTACAGTGTTTTGGAAATGAAATCATGTGTTAATCTTACAGAGAATCCCTTATATGTGGAGACCCATTTTTCTCTTACTGCTTTCAAAATTCTCTCAGTATTTTTGGCTTTTGACAATTTTATTATTTTGTATATGTTCATCTCTTTGAGTTTGTCTTACTGGGGGTTCCTAAATTTTTCAGATGTGTACATTAATGTTTTAACTACATTTGAGAAGTTTTTAGTTATTATACCTTCAAGTACTGTTTCTTCCCCTTTTCCCATATTCTCTTCTTCTGTGACTCTAATATGTGTATGCTGGTAAGCATGATACTGTTCAATTAGTCTCTGAGACTTTATGTATCTTTATTTATTCAGTTTTTTTCCTGTTCCTTAGACTAGATGATGTAAACTGACCTATATTCAAATTCTCTTTTTCTACCAGGACTAATCTTCTATTGAATCCTTATAGTAAATTTTTAGTTATTATACTTTTCAATTTGAGAATTTTTACTTTTTATTTCTTCATTAGTAATATTTGCTGAGACATCAGTCTCTTTGTTTTTTAGAATTAGTTTCTTCTATTTCTTTGAACATATTTATAATAATTGATTTAAAGTCTTTACCTATTACGTCCAATATCTACCTCAGGGACAGTTTATATTGCATGCTTTTTTTTCTTCCTGTATATGAGCCATTCTTCTTATTTACAAGACATAATTTTTTATTGAAAACTGGATATTTTATATAATATAATGTGACAACTCTAGAAATCAGATTATCTCCTCCCAGCCTTTCTTTTGATTGCCATTTATTGTTGTTGTTGTTGTTGTTATTATTTATCTCCTGGACTAATTCTGTAAACTCTTTATTCCCTGTTATTTGTGGCCACTGAGTCCTCTGTACAGTTAGCTTTGTAGTTAAGCTCGTGATTGGACAGAGATTTCCTTATATACCCTGAGTGAATAAGCTGTATATTATTTGTTGAGAGGCTCTTTGTATGTATTGACAGGCTCTCAATGTTTTGATAGTTTACAATTCTGCATTAGTCTTCCCTTCCTGCTTCAAAGGACCTAAAGTTCAAGTAGAGATGAGAGGATGGAACTTTCTCAGATCATTCTTTTACATGGACACAGCCCTACTCATGGATGTGGCTTTCTTCACATTCCTTAGGAATATGTCAGTGTTGTTCAAAGATTCTGGTGTTATCTCACTCATAAACTCTTCCATTTACATTTTTATTGGCCAGCTTCTTATTGGCCTCAACTCGTATAGTCTCCTCAGGCAGCTGCCATGTTAAACAATCACTTTTGATTGTTTTCAGCAAATGTCCTAGAAACAAGATTTTTCCCAATCAACAAGCTTTCAGTAAGTCAAAACGATCACAAGCCTTAAAAATTGAGCTTTTCCAAGGAGCTGTCAGATGGGTCAATGCTTAGACAATGCCATTCTGCCTCCTCTTGTAGCTTCTAGAATTCCACTTTACATACCTATTGTTGAGAGGCTGCTGGATTTTATACCTACCATTTAGGTATAAAGAAGAGAATGGAAATAGGGAAATTAAAATGTCACACAATTTGTTGTTCTTACCAATATTTAGCACTTTTGTTGAATAAGGGCTCTTTGGATTATTGCATGCCTTCAGTTAATTTTGAGATTTCTGGAAAAATCACATTAATGGAAAACTCCTTTCAATTATTCCTCTTTGCCCTAAGGATAAAAGCCTTTTAATCATCCTTACAGCTGCCTCTCAGGCTGCCTGTGTTGTTGGGCCTCTGTCTACCTTTCCAGCCTCAGATGGTGTTATAGTTTAGATATTCGCCCCCATCCAAATCTCATGTTGAAATATAATCCCCAGTCTTGAAGGTGAGGCCTGGTGGGAGGTGTTTGGATTATGGGAGTCCATCCTTCATGAATGGCTTGGGCCATTCCCTTGGTGATAGGTGAGCTCTTGCTCTGAGATCTGGTGGTCATTTAAAAGTCTGTGGAACCTCCCCTCCCCAACTCTCTCTCTCTTTCCCTGCTTTTGCCATGTGAAGTGCAAGCTCCTGCTTTGCCTTCTACCATGAGTAAAACTTCCTGAAGCCTCACCAGAAATTACGCTTCCTGTAAAGCTTGCAGAACCATAAGCAAATTAAATCTTTTCTTATAAATTACCTAGTCTCAGGCATTTCTTTATAGTAATGCAAAAATGACCTAATACAGAAAATTAGTACTCAGAGTGGAGTATTACTATAAAGATACCTGAAAATGTAGAAACAGCTTGGAAATTGGATAATGGCCAGAGGTTAGGATCACGTGGAGTATGTCTTTCTAGAGAAGACAGGAAGATGAGAGTAAGTGTGCAACTTCTTAGAGACTGCTTAAATGATTGTGACCAAAATGCTGATAGTGATATGGAAAATGAAATCCAGGCTGACTAGATCTGAGATGAAAACGAGGAACTTATTGGGAACTGGAGCAAAGGTCACACATGTTATGCCATAGGAAAGAGTTTGGCTGCATTCTGTTCATGCCCTGGGTATCTGAGGAAATCTGAACTTGAGAGTGATAACCTAGGGTATTTAACAGAAGAAATTTCTAAGCAGCAAAGTGCCCAAGATGTGGCCTGGCTGTTTCTAACAACCTTTGCTTAGATACAGAAGCAAGGAAATGGCTTAAAGTAGAAATTTATATTTAAACAGGAAACAGAGCATAAAAGTTTGGAAATTTTGCAGCCTAGCCATATGGCAGAGAAAGAAAAAGCTTTTTTGTAGAGAGGAATTCAAGCAGGCTGTGGAGCAACCACCTGCTAGATACATTGGCATAACTAAAAGGGAGCCAAGTGCTACTATTCAAGACAATGGGGAAAACAACTTGAAGTCATTTCAGCGAACTTCATGGCAGCCCCTCCCATCAGAGGCCTTAGGAGGGAAGAATGGTTTCATGGGCCGAGCCCTTGGCAAACTACTCTCCCCACATCCCAGCCACTCCAGTTCCAGCTATGGCTCAACAGGGTCCAGGTACAGCTCGGGCTGCCACTTTGAAGGATGCAAGCCATAAGCTTACATGGCTTACATGAGATGTTAAGCCTGTGGATGTACAGAGTGCCAGAGCTGAGGTTTGGAAGCTTCTGTGAGGGTTTCAGAGGATGCATGAAAAAGCCTGGATGTATAGGCAGAAGCCTGCTGCAGGGGCAGAACCCTCACAGACAACTTCTACTAGGGCAATGTGGAGGGGAAAATATGGGGCTGGAGCCTCCACACAAAGTCTCTAATGAGCACTGGCTAGTAGAACTGTGAGAAGAGGGCCACCATCCTTCAGACCTGAGAATGGTAGATCTATTAGCAGCTTGTACTCTGTACCTGGAAAATCCACAGGCACTCAATCCCAGCCCATGAGAGCAGTTGGGGGAGTTGTACTCTGCAAAGGTATAGGGGTAGGGCTGCCCAAGGCCTTGGGAGCCCTCTCCTTGCACCAGTGTGCCCTGGATGTGGAACATAGAGTCAAAGGGGATTACATTGGAGCTTTAAGATTTAATGACGGCCTGCTTGGGTTTTGCCTTGCATGGAGCCTATAGCCCCTTTCTTTTAGCCAATTTCTCCCTTTTGGAATGGGAATGTTTACCCAATGCCTATACATACCTATTGTATCTTGGAAGTAACTAACTTGTTTATTTTACAGGCTCATAGGTGGAAGGGATTTGTCTTGTCTCAGATGAAACTTTGGACTTTTGAGTTAAATCTGGCAAAGGTCAAGATTTTAGGGGATTGCTGAGAAAGTATGATTCTATTTTGCAATGTGAGGACATGAGATTTGGGAGGGGCCAGGAGAAGAATTATATAGTTTGGATAGTTTTCCCTGCCCAAATCTCATGTTGAAATGTAATCCCCAATCTTGGAGATGGGGCCTGGTGGGAGGTATTTGGGTCATGGGGGCGCATCTCTCATGAATGGCTTGGGCCATCCCCTGGGTGATGAGTGAGTTCTCCAGTTGAGTTCACATGAGATCTGATCATTTAAAAGTGTGTGGCACCTCCCCCACCACTTGCTCCTGCATTTACCATGTGAAGTACAAGCTCTCATTTTGCCTTCTGCCATGAGTTAAAGCTTCCTGAGCCCTTCCTGTATAGCCTGCAGAAATGTGAGCCAATTAAACCCTCTTTTCTTATAAATTATCCAGTCTTGGGTATTTCTTCATAGCAATGCAAGAATGTCCTAATACATCTGGTATCCCTTATTTCTGAGCATTGGTTTACCTCGATGATTCTGTGCTTTCTTTAATGTTATACTACCTTCCATTGCAGGACTTCTGTTTAGACTAACACCTATGCCTGCACTCCAACTCAAGATTAGGCAAATTCCCATCTCCACTAACTTAGCATAACGTACTTCCCATTCATAGCATTTATGGCAATTATCAGTGATTGAATTCATAATTGGGAATATTTGATTCACATCCGTCTTTCTTATAAAATTCAAATACAACGAAGACAGGTAAAATGTCACTTCAGTTCACCACTGTATCCTGCATCTAATGTACCAACACACATTAACTACTTAATACATGCTGAAATAAATTAAAACCTATATATATATTTTTTTTTTAAATCGTGGACAAAATAAAAAAGCAAGCACATACTTTATTTAGAAAATAGAATAAAATAAAAGCAAGGAAGCAGACACAACTGCATATAAAAGGGAAAACAAAAGTGAAATAACCAAATAGGACTAAACATCTAAGTTGACCATTTTCATTGCTAAACTTTTGTGAAATTATCATTCAGTGCTTACACTAGACTATATGTTTTACATGCATTGTTTAACTTAATCTTCACAGCACTCTGTTATCAATGTTTTACAGATAAGAAAACTCAGGCTTATTGACGTTAATTGACTTATAAAACCATTAATAAGTTCTGGGCCACTTTGGCACCTGAACTTTCAAGCATTAATCAGAAATAAAAAGGTTAAGCTTCTCTGCAAAATAAAAAGATTCTCGGATTTGAGTTAAAAAAAGAAAAACAAGATGCAATCTATCTGCTGCTTACAGCAGATATGCCCAAAACAAGATGACACAGGTTAAATATAAATGGATAGGGTGAGGTTTATTAGGCAAAAACAAAGAGAAACATAGCAAAAGTTGAAGCATTAATATCAAAGTAGGTTTCAAGACAAAAATACAAAATGATACAAAGAAGGTCATTTTATATTAAAAACATAAACTATGTAAATACGAAAGACATGCACCTTTATAGGATGAATAATATATGTTCAAAATACAGAAACCACAAACTGCTCAACACACAATCATAATGGATGAAATTTTCATCTTTCGAATAAAGTAGAACAAATAAAAATAGTCATTGTTAAGTTGGTTTTTTGTCCTCTTCATAATGTTAACTATATCAAAAATGAGTATGTATTTACATTTTCAAAACATATCTAAGAGTATAAAGTAAAATATTAACTTTACTCCTTTAAACTCATCCTTGTCTTTATACATATCCGTTATTATAAGAGATTAATGGTCTTTTCAAATATTATTTTATACACGTACATGGATACATACATATCTATAATCGTTTTTAAGATAATGGAACTTAATTATTATTTATTTATATTATTAATTAATTTTTTTTTGAGATAGAGTTTCGCTCTTGTTACCCAGGCTGGAATGCAATGGCATGATCTCAGCTCATTGCAACCTCTGCCTCCCCGGTTCAAGTGATTCTCCTGCCTCAGCCTCCCGAGTAGCTGGGGTTACGGGCATGCGCCACCATACGCAGCTAATTTTTTTGTATTTTTAGTAGAGACAGGGTTTCGTCATGTTGGTCAAGCTGGTCTCAAACTTCTGACCTCAGGTGATTCACCTACTTTGGCCTCCTAAAGTACTGGGATTACAGCCGTAAGCCACAGCACCCAGCCCAAGATAATGGAGCTTAATTAAACTTAACTGAATTGTTTTAAGAAATATTTTTAAATGCAGAAAAAGAGAGTAGTATGATAAACATTCATTTTGCACCAAGAATAATTGACAATTGTTTTAAGTTAACATATTTATTTAAGTCTTTTGTTAATAACAAGATAGTCAAAGTTAAAGCATATTTTGATATGTATGGGGGTAAAGAAGGAAGGGAAGATATATTCAAAGTGTATATAAAATATACATGTAAATTCTAGAAAGTTTTTCAAACAGTGGGTGTTAGTCAGCACTGAAGTGTTGGAATGGAAATGTAAGTGGAGGTGGGATTGAAACAGGCTGTTGCTGTAACACTGTTTTTCTTAATCATAAGAATGATTTAATTTTATAGTTTCTCAAAATACCCAAGGGAGGAACATAAACTCCTATATATAACACGACTCTTTTTAAACATATATATCTATAAATGCTTGGGGTGTCAGGAAACACTGAAAATAAATTTACCAAAGAGTTATTTTAGCCATTCAGTACTTATTGCTGGGTGGTGGAATTATTGTTGACTTTGTTCTTAGTATACTTCTGCGTTTTCCAAATTATCTACCATAAGCAATTATATTCTGATTGTAAAATGCTACAGATGAAAAACTAGAAATAAACATTAAAATTATTTAAAAGGTTTAGTTCACTAACAATCCTGGTAATGTTGCATTGATACTAGGATACTCAAGACAACAGATTTGGTCACAACTAAAACTTTTTAGAGCTCTCCACTTACTCATTTCCAATTGTGTATGATCAATTTCTACGGTCTATTACATTCACAGCCGGTGCAATTGTAAATTGGTACCACCTTTCGGAAAGCAATTGGCTCTATATATCTTTAAAATCTTAAAGTTATTTAAAAAGCCTTATGCCCTTTACCCCAGAACTGTCGCTTTCCAAAAATTTTCCTAAAGGGGGAAATTCGAAATAAGAAAAACAATACACAGGTTGAGCACTGTAACTTATATATAATAAAGTTGGGGAAATTAGAGAAAGGTTAAATTACAGTGCATTTATTCAACAGAATACTCCGTCATTTGTAACAATGACTATGAAACAAAATAGAAAAATACTCACGTTAGGTTAAATGAAGAAAACATACCTATCTATGGTGGATCACAATATGAAAATTTAATACTTCTAGGTAGAAGAAGAGAAAGAGAATATGAAAAACTAAAAAGTCTTTAGGGGTAGGAGGACGTGAGCAGATCTCTAAATAACCTTGAGATCAATGGAAACAGTGTATAGATTTTTAGGTTCACTTATAAGCTGCTGATCTTATTTTAAGATCCTTCAGTATATGTTATCAAAAAGTGTTTGCTTTTCTTGCAAACGCCCATGTTTGGGAAATATGCAAGTTGAAGCCAATGCATTACTGTACTTTTTATAATGCACCTGAAGTTTTACTAGCTGTTCCAAGAGTGGTGTACTGAGTATTGATAAATCGTTTAAGTGGAGGCTCACATGAAATATTAACTATTACCCCAGGGCTTTAGAGCAACTGTGATCAATTCTGGCACAGCATCAGATCCATAATTTTCTTTGCTACTCTGATTTCTACGTTTTTTGTATTTTCAAAGTAATGTGACCGCAACTGTTAAGTTATTAAAATTGCTCCTGAGATGAGGGCACTCGAGACACAAACACACGGAGAGGTTCGTCCGCTATTCCTCTCATTTACTAAGCTCACACGTCTACCCTGAGGATTTGGAAACACTGTATGATTCTGCACTTACTGTGCACTTATCCCTTAGTGCTAAGGGGTAAACAGATACCCACCGGGCTGTCTAAGGCGCAGCCTCAAGGCAAGGAAGAAGGGTGCTGGGTCGCAGGGGATGAGAGGGCGGGGCGGCCACTTTGCTGCAGGAGATACCCAAAGCCAGTTAGCACTGAGGAAGTCAGAAGAGAATTGTCAGTCTCTCGGACACCTTCATTTTCTGCCCCGGAAATTTCTCCTCCGCTGTTGTCTGGGCTCCACTTCCGACCCCCAGTTGCTACCAGCTGTAGTCCGACCTATCGTGGCCCGGGCTAGTGCCAGCCTCCCGCCGCTACCTCCGCCTCGTCCCTTCTCCTCTGCGCCTGCGCGACCGGAAAATTCGCGAAGGTTCCTGAAACGCAACGGATCGTTTCCGGAAGCCGGTAGCCGCCTCAGTCGTCAGACCGGTGCTAGCGACACGGGAGTGGCAAACGCATCCTCTTGCCGTTCCCGGTGTTTGGGCCTTGCCTGTGACGGTGGGAAAAGAAAATGGCCTTGCTGTGCTACAACCGGGGCTGCGGTCAGCGCTTCGATCCTGAGACCAATTCCGACGGTAAGAGGAACGCGCCGCCAGCCCTCCCTCCCCTCCACCTCATCAGCAGGGGAGGCCCTTTGGGCCGGAGGGTGTCCGCGGATCTCCTGCAGCCGTCCTCGCGCGGCCCCAGGTCCATGCCCCTCCTGGGCCTCCCTTGGCTGCCCGCGCAGCCCGCCGGCCGCCCCTCTGTTGCGCCGCGTTCCCTTGGCGAGCGCCCGGCCCCGGCGCCTGACTGTCCTCTGCCACTGCGGAGAGAGACGCTCCCATGGATCCACGTGTTTCCCCCGTCGTCCCCGCACTCCTTTTAAGTCGCCTGGAATTTAGAACGAACACGTTTCTCCTCTGGCCCTCCAGTCTCTGGGGAAGCAAAAATTAACGAGGTACTGGTGAGCTTGCTTTGTAGTTCCCGAAGTAGTGATGGCTGTGATTGCCTGCGCGAGAGGGAGAGGTGGCCGGGATGAGCAGCGGGTTGTCCTAGCATGTAAGCTCTGCCTTGTAGAAGTTTGTGTTCAGTCGATCCGCTGTTACAAACCTCTTACAAGTGTTCTTGGTAAGGGACATTACTCTGTATCTTCACGCTGTTTTGATAGGTTCATCCTGGTGGTACGTTAGTTATCTTTTTATTACTAGCGGCATTTGTTGCTTGTTCTTCTTGTGGCCTCCACGTTTTACTACCATGCCTACTCCCGTATAAAATGAGTGAATGTCATCTACAGCACCTAGATGTCGAGTTAAGGATCCAAAGCGAAAATGACTATTAGGTGAAGGACGGGAAATGATCAGTGAATTGAAATTTTGATTGACAAAGAAGTGAGATGATTCCTTGCGTATCGTGAGAAGTGACAACACGTTTTCAGATTGAACTAGCATTTAGTTTATATTTTCTGCATGCCAGCCATTATTGCTTTATCTTATTTAATCTTCATAACCACCCTGGGACGCATGTAATGTTAATTAGACCCATTTGATAGAGAAGCTCAGTTCAATGAGGTTGTATTAATAACATCCTTCATTATTGTGGAGGAGATGAAAACTGATGCCTTTTGAACTCTTCACCTCTGAGATGTTTGAAATACTTATTTTTGGCACACAGGTAAATTGATAGCGTTATTTAAAATAAGACCATTGATACAGAGTTTTAAGGAAAAGGAAAATCCAACCTATGCAATACTCAAGTTACCGCCACTGACATTTTTATGATGCAAATATGATGCTACTCATGAGGAAAATTGTGAGATTTCAGTCGATGACAAAATCGAGAAACGATTTTAAAGCCCTTTGGTGTTGGCAGCCTATGTAAAACATTAATTGCACTTATGTCTGCAGATATTCTACTTTAATATAGAATACAGGGGAAAGACTGACGCTTTGCTTATGAGACAATAAAGTTCAGGGGCGATAGTCATTTGTTGGAAGTCTGTATCCATGTGTGAATTGGTGCAGTGCCTAGGAAACAGAAAGCGACCAGGAAAACCGTCTCAAAACTTGGGTGGTCAGCAGTACTAGTTACAGCAGAGAAATTCCAATAAGTATATTTACTTTAGCGAAATGACGGTTTTTTTAGAGACTTAGAATACATTTTTCAAGTAAACTGATTGAGTGAATGGAAGGAGAAGAAAATGGAGATACGGAGTAGGAGACAAGAACTAAATAGAAAGGTTGGTTAGGAGGTTTTTTAGGAAGAGGTTTGACCTTGTACAGTTGACAGAAATAAGTTAAAAGAGGTAAATACACAAGCAAGTTCCATTTTGCGTAAGCCAGATGTTGGATCTGTCATCTTTAAATATTTCTTAATCTACACTAAATGCTTTTTTTCTCGGTGCTGTGGCATAATTACCGTGCTCGTTGACTTATAGTCTCATGATTTTTTTTTCCCCCTAGAGACAGAAATTAGACTCCCTTTTAAGCTGATAGAACGTTTTAACTTGTAACTGAAGTTAAAGGGTGTTTAAGGGAGACACAGTTGGTAACTTACATATGTTAAACACTTATTCTAGAATAAACACAGCTTCACAAACGGTATTTTTTTTAATCGACGTATACGAGGAAAACTGAAGGAACTACTAGCGAGTAGCTCAGTGAGAAATTTAGCCAGGGTCAGACCCAATGTTAGAAGCCCTGGACACTTAACCACTGCTACTGTCTTGTAGCTTCTCACCCATAAAATATTAATTTTGCCAAAACTCTTAAAACTGATAAAGAAAGGATGGATATTAAAGAAAGAATGAAGAATGTCCATTTGCTTGTTACTTCTTGTTTTTGAAAGCAGTGGCTTTCTAATTGTGTTCATGTTAGTTGTATGGTTCAGATCTGACTCATTCCTGCTGCCATGCTGCCAAAATTGACTTATTGTGACATTTTATGCCTCTGACTCTGTTATACATTGCGTTTATGTTTCTGACTACTTTAAATTTGGTGTTTGAAAATACTGGATCTATTCTCTACTTCCATTCCCCTCTCAACTTCATGTCCTTCTGCATACCCATTTCTACTTCCAACCTCCTTTTTCAGCCCTTAATTCCACAACTACCCTTAATTAATAACATCTTTCTGATCCCACGGATTTACTTACTGTATCAGGAAGATACCTAACACTTTCTACATTAGCTAGTATCTATGCAGCACATGGTTACTAAGGAAGCAATACTGGCTAGTAACGGGGTAGGGAGATTTCTGTGAGCACCAGTAGTAAATTTTGAGGCAACACCAGGAATCAGGTGATAGAGCAAGGGTGTTCAATCTTTTGGCTTCCCTGTGCGACATTGGAAGAAGAGGAATTATCTGGGCCACATTGGAAGAAGAATAATTGGGTCACATATGAAATACACTAACACTAATGATAGCTGATGAGCTTAAAAGAAAACAAAAACAAAATTCATAATGTTTTAAGACAGTTTACGAAATTTGTGTTGGGCTACATTCAGAGTTGTCTGGGGCGGCATGTTGGACAAGGTTGTTGTAGAGCATTGAAAGCTAAATAGACTTGAAAGGTTGAAAGATAGTCTTTTAAGCAGATTGCAGAGGGATGAAGCTGACTGTTACCTGATTTTTAAAAATATAGTACTCCATCTTGCAAATTGCTGAGAGCAGCTTGGTCGTGGAGACCCTAACCCGGTGGTGCTAGAGGAATTAAAGACACACACACAGAAATATATAGTAAGGAGTGGGAAATCAGGGGTCTCACAGCCTTAGAGCTGAGAGCCTCCAATGGAGATTTACTAAAAGTATTCCTTACGGGAAATAAAGGGATGGGCTCTGGCTAGTTATCTGCAGCATGAACATGTCCTTAAGGCACATATGGCTCATGCTATTGTTTGTGGTTTAAGAATGCCTTAAGTGTTTTTCCGCCCTGGGTGGGACAGTTGTTCCTTGCCCTCATTCAGGTAGACTCACAACCTTCTAGCCTGGGCATCAAAGCCGTCACGAGCATGTCACAGTGCTGCAGAGATTTTGTTGATGGCCAGTTTTGGGGCCAGTTTATGGCCAGATTTGGGGGCCTGTTCCCAACACAAATTGTAATAAACCCATTTACATAAGAGAAGTAAAGATTGATGGTGTAGTGGGGAGGGAAGTATAGAATAACACCCAGTGAGAATCTAGAAAATAGGCTGTAGAACTTGAGAGTTTTTTTTGTTTGTTTTTTTTAAGATGGAGTCTTGCTCTGTCACCTAGGCTGTAGTGCGGTGGCATGATCTTGACTCACTGCAAACTCTGCTTCCCAAGTTCAAGCGATTCTCCTGTCAAGATCCTGAGTAGCTGAGACTACAGGCATGCACTACCACGCCCGGCTAATTTTTGTATTTTTAGTAGACACGGGGTTTCACCATGTTGGTTAGGCTGGTCTCGTACTCCTGACCTCAGGTGATCTGCCTACCTCAGCCTCCCAAAGTGCTGGGATTACAGGCATGAGCCACCAGGCCCACCTAGACTTCTATTTTTTTTTTTTTTTTTAATTAAAAAGTAAACTTTAATGTTGAAAATGCACACTTGGGGAAGGCAGAAAGATCACACACAAGGCTGTCACTTCACACTTGGAAGGTTGCACAGTGGCCAGGCAGAGGTGCTCCTCACTTTCCAGACAGGGCTGCCGCCAGGCAGAGGCACTCCTCAGTTCCCAGACTGGGCGGGGGCAGGGCAGAGGAGCTCCTCACTTCCCAAACAGGGCAGGGGCCAGGCAGAGGCACCCTAGTCTTCTTTTTAGTGAGGTTTGTACCTAGGAATGACTGTGTCTAGGAAAGTTAAATTACCAATTAGATACTGCAAAAAATCTTTACAGTATTTAAAATGTTGAGCCTGTTATTACAAAATGTCTTTAAGGGAATCTCTTGTGAAACCTTTATGGATGAATGCACATAAGAATACTTCAAGTTTGATAGTACATTTGTAAAAGCAGGTTTGAAAAATGATGGTCAAAATTTGGGGGTTTGAAGTTTTGGTACTAAACAAATTTTACTACCAAGATTAGGGGAATATAAAATATAATTGTTATACATAAACAATTCTGTATTTTTGTCCTTAGTCATCATATGCTTGAATTAGAATTTTTAATACTATTTTAATATAGTACACTTTGTGCTGCACGTCAAACTCAATCATTTGTACCTTTTTAAGGTACTTGCGTTTGGAAAAAGGATTAAAGGTTAACACCTTAAGGAGATGATCATGTATATATTTTTCTTCATTATAAAGAGTGGTACTTTTTTTTTTTTCTCTGTTTTCTCCAGATGCTTGCACATACCACCCAGGTGTTCCGGTCTTTCACGATGCATTAAAGGTAGGAACTATATTTTCATTTTTTTCATATCTGTGTAGTAAATTGAGAGATGTAATACTAAATCTTTATTTTCTCATCTTTTTTTCTCAGCTAGTGACTTTCTTCTTAATGACCTTTGCGGGGGAGGTGCTTTAAGCGTATACTCCACTAAAGACAAAGAAAAGACAGTAGATGATGATCTTAAGGTCTTTTCCAGTTATAAAATTGTATTTTAATTCTGGGTTTTTTTTTTTTTTTTTGAGATGGAGTTTCACTGTGTTGCCCAGGTGGAGTGCAGTGGTGCGATCTCAGCTCACTGCAACGTCCGCCTCCTGGGTTCAAGCGATTCTGCCTCAGCCTCCTGAGGAGCCGGGATTACAGGCACCTGCCACCATGCCCAGCTAATTTTTGTATTTTTAGTGGAGACAGGGTTTCATCATATTGGTCAGGCTGGTCTCGAACTCCTGACCTCAGATGATCCACCTGCCTCAGCCTCCCAAAGTGCTGGGATTACCATGCCTGGTCTTAATTTTCATTTTCTACACCCATTTCTTCACTTTTCTAATTTTGAGGGAAAATAGAGTGGTTGTATTGAATCTCAGTCTGTCACTACTGGCTAATAACAGCTCTGAATTTTAGAAAAGATTCTTATAAACATTTAGTGCCAATCTCGGGACAGACCTGTGAGTTTTCCAGCTATACTTCTTGGATGTTCTGGAGAATTGGTGGAATGTTGTTTGACTAGGTTTTTGCTGGTCATCTTTTTAAAATTCATGATAGTATGATACATTTAAAGAGTTTCCTTTGTATATCTCAAAAGATGATGCTGTGGTAGGGCTGCCATGGTTTTAGGTTCTACTTCTTTGGTTCTCAGGAACATAAGCAGTCTTAACATGTTTAAATATTGTTGGTGCCCTTTAAATGTCTAATTATACCTTCCAAAGAGTAGTTAGACTGTTTTGGCACTTCACTGTTAACACCACCAAATCTAACAAAAGATGTATTAGTCTGGTTAGTTCTGAGTGAGGAAAACAGAGAAGACATTCAGTAGGGCAAGTTGAGACCTTATTCCTCCATACATTTTTTTAGTTTTTACAAATCTTTGTTGTGGTGGAAACTGTGGTGCTGTGGAAATGTTTATTTTTCTTTTTGTGGAATTTTATTTTTCCTAGACTGCCATTTCTTCTGATATTTTTGTTTTACTGTGTCTTTTTCTTTTTTTCCCTATGCTGTTTTCCTCTTAGCTCTTAAAGGTAACCTTTGGCTGTTTTCTCTCATTCAGTTCATTCATTGGTTTTCTCAAATGTCACCTCTACGCCGATGGCTCTTACAACATATTTCTATTTATGTGTCTCATTGGCAACATCAAACCAGTTTCTAGTGTGTACCGTTTATTCCAAAAGTAGTCTGCCTCTCAACTTTACTGCTCCTAGTAATGATACTACTGACTTTCTGATCATTTGGTCCATTGCCCGTTTTTTCTCTTACCGCATTGTTAATCACTCCAAGTCTTAATGAATTCACTTTGAAGTATTTTTGCTTCTCTCTCTTTTGCAGTTGTAGTGTTTATTGTGGTCTCTATTTTATAACCATTTCTTAAAGTCCTAGACTTTCCAAGATTATTGGATTTCACAGTCCAGAAGATTTCAGACAAAATGCGTATACATCAATACAGGGATACTAGTTGACCAAGTAAGAAGTTAAACATTGCATTGACAAAAGAAATACTATTTTAATATTAGAAGGGGCATATTCAGAGAAAAGGACAATCTTGCTGAAAAAAGACAACTAGCAACCTTATATTCACATAACTTAAATTTATCTTTCCTTTTCTCATTGTACTGAAGACTAGCATAGAATCCAGATTGGCATTTGGGAACAGCTGGCCTGTATTGTATTTTACATGTGTGTATCACAGTATCTGACATAATTTAGTACATGATTAAGACAGTAAAACTTTTTCTCTTATAGAATAACTTTTCTGTTGACTATATTATTGATGCTATTTAAACCCTATATTTAAGGTTGTAGTAATTGATCTACATCTCAATTCGGAGTAAAAGATAATTAAATTTCAAATTAAAGGAAAATTTGAATTATAGGATATTTGAAATTACCTTTAAAGAAAAAGAACCTACAGGTGCATATAATGAGAAAAATCACTACCATATTTTTATGCAGTCTTTTGAAAATCAGCGAGGTCCAGGCGGATGTGTGCAAAGTTGCATCTTAATCTGAATTTAGTCCCAAATCTTAATCTGAAGTTCCAAGTTTTGAGATTTTGCATTTTTGTTTCCCTATGCTCTATAAACATTGGAATTTAGAGATAATTATTAAAGCCATTTTTTGGTAAACTACTTGATAGTTTGTTCAAAAATCACAAATACTAATAGTTTCTCTGTCTTTATGCTTCTCACTGAAAAGATCACCTTCAAAGGCTTAATAGTGCTTTAGCTGCTGTGTTAATTAATCTTTGTTGTTCTGAAAATAGAATGCTTATTGTGAAATTAAAATTAACTAAAGATAGTTACTATCTTTAACTTAATAGATTTTAAAAGTAAAATACCTATACTTATTTTGAATATTCTTTAAATATGATAGTTTTAGGAATTATAACATGTTTTTCTTCTAAAAAAAAAGCAGACACGATTGTTGAAAAGAGAAACAGTTTTTGTTTTATAAAGGTGCTTCCCTTGATGATAGGGCATAGCACAAATCACTTTAACATTGGTTAATTGGCTTTTTAAAAATCAAAGATTAATATTCATTTTACTTGATTAGGTGAATTATATGCAACACTGAAATTTTGCACTCTATACGCAAGTTACTGCAGGATTCAAGTAGATAAGTGCAAGTAGAGTGTTTTAGTGGGTCGTGTTTCTCATGCAAATAGAGTTTTTAGTTTCCTTCTCTTGTTTTTCATAGGGTTGGTCTTGCTGTAAGAGAAGAACAACTGATTTTTCTGATTTCTTAAGCATTGTAGTAAGTACTAATTATTTTTTCTAGATTATCTTCCTAAAAATACATGTTATAGAAAGCTTCAGATTTGAGGAGTCTGATTTCTGATATAGATTGATTGGTCTTCATCAACTTGCAGATAACACCTTTCAAAAAGCAGCTCATCTCCCTTCCACAGCTTGTAAAATAAAGAATCTGTTTTGGAAATTAACGTTTTAAGGTATCAGTTACCTGCTTATCATTTTAGGTTTGTTCTTTCTGTTATGTTGAAAGAACATCAAGGAGAAAGTGGTAAGCAACAATTTAAAGCCTTTTCAGTTAGGAACGATAAAGTTTTATCTAAGATGCTGTTGAAATATTTTACATACCACTTTTATATAAAACCACTTTATATACCACTAAGAAAACTAAAGCTACTAACAAACTGATAATGCTATTGATTGTATCATTTCAGAGGTGTTAAAGAGTATGTATAATTCAGTAGAATGTAGTAGAAAAGTAGCTAACGTTTGTTGAATGTTATCACCTGCCAAATGTGCCAGGCATTTTATTATTTAACTCTCTCAGAAAATATCTTACCTGACATTACCTCCATTTTACAAATGAGGAGATGGAGGTTTAAAAAGATTATCTTGCTTAAGGTCATATAACTAATAAGTATGTTGAGAACTAGGTCTCAAATTGAGGCCTTTCGAGTAACAGATTTTTCTGTATAACTATTTTTTACAGTTCTTTGTGAGATTCTCCAGAATTCTTCTGTAAACAAGAGGTTTATGCCATATTTTTAATAGAATAAGTAGATGTTTATGAAGTGTAATTCAAAGACTTTTTAAAAAAGCCGTCATTCAGAGATTCAGCAAATATGGCAAATTTGGAGTTCTGTTTTTAATTTCTTAAAATCAATGTATTGAAACTGGAGAAAACATGAAATAGAATCACTATCAATAAAGAACTGAAAAGATAATATTTCTATCATGAAATGTAAAATAGATAGCTCTTAATGAATTATCTTTCACTAACAGGGCTGTACAAAAGGTAGACATAATAGTGAGAAGCCACCTGAGCCAGTCAAACCTGAAGTCAAGACTACTGAGAAGAAGGAGCTATGTGAATTAAAACCCAAATTTCAGGAACACATCATTCAAGCCCCTAAGCCAGTAGAAGCAATAAAAAGACCAAGGTATACTTTATACAGTTACATATTTTTGTCACACTTGAATAGTAGCACTTGTGCATGGTACTTTCCTTTATGATTTAGCATGATACCATTTGTAGCTACTATGTAGGCCACCAAGCTTTGAACCATTTGGTTTCTCCCTTAAATCTGCCTTAAATTTTTATTTCTCTTCAACTTGAGAGCATGTACACAATATAACTACATAACAGATTTGCATATTGTACTGTCATAATTACAGGGACATGTATCATCAGGGTAGGGAAGTCACATTTTTCTTGTGCCTTAGAGTGCATCTTTTTCACTGTGGCATGGTAAAATTCTTTGAAGCAGTTTTCCTTTTCATGGCATGAGTTTGAAGTAGAAAATAATGCAGAGGCCTAATCATCCATCTTTACTTTCAGATGCCTGAAAACTACCGTTAATCTCATTACTACTGGTCAATTTTTAATGCATTTGATTTAGATGACATATTTGTGAAAGTAGTCTTAAAAAAGCGTTTGCTCATTGTGCAATAGAGTTGTACAGATTCTTCATACTTGCCTTCTGATAACCAGACTCTGTATTCCCACACATGTATATTGAGTACCTTTGTTGAACCAGGTCTTCTTCGTGCTACACTTGAGTACTAAATTGTTTTAGAAGCAAACTACAGGACTTAAAAAAAGGTGATTTTTTTTTTTTTTTTTGGCTGCAAGTAGGCACTTATTGTAATTTTTATTCATGCTATGAACTCATGATTTTCCCTTTATTCTCCTTTGATCCTACTTAAATAAATTTATAGAGTATTGAATAATATAGAACCAAGATAAGAACCCTAAGAGACTTTAGATGTTTATTTGTTCATTAGCACTCTGAGTACAGATTATTGCTAAGGAAACTACTCAGGATGATTTTATTCTCTCTCCATCTTCATAGTTAGAGGAGACCATTGAATGCTTTGGCCAGTTTAGCAGTTAGAAAAATAATTGGGAAAAGACAAAACTTCAGTCATGGCTCATTCTTAATCTCTTTAGTAATATAATACAGTCTGTACTATAATAGTATGAGTTAATTTTTTCTTTAAATGATGGGCTGTTATTTTACTTAAAGGGCAGTGAGAGGCCAGGCACTGTGGCTCAAGCCCATAATCCAGCACTTTGAGAAGCCTAGGAGGGAGGATCCTTTGAGCCTAGGAGTTTGAGAACCAATCTGAAAGAGATCCTGTCTCTCCAAAAAAAATAAATTAGCTGGGTTTGGTGGTGTGCTCATGTAGTTGCAGCTACTCAGGCTGAGGCAGGAGGATCTTGAGATTGACTTTTTGAAAAAAAAGGACAAAGGCAGTGAGATGAGAAAAACTAAATATTTTATCCTAAATTCATTTGGTGGTATTATAACAATTATGAGGATATCAGTTTTTACATACTTTTCTTTTTTTTAAGAAGAAAAGTCCCTCTCTTACCCAGGCTGTAATGCAGTGGCATTATAGCTCACTGCAGCCTTTAACTCCTGGGCTCAAGCCATCCTCCTCCCTAACCCTCCCCGGAACTATAGGTGTATGCTACTATGACTGTATTAGTCCATTTTCACAGTTACGAAGAAACACCCGAGACTAAGTGATTTATAAAGAAAAAGAGGTTTAATGAACTCACAGTTCCATATGGCTGGGGAGGCCTCACAATCATGGCAGAAGGTAGAGCGAGTAATAAAGGAATGTTTTACATGGTGGCAGGCAAGAAAAAAACCATCAGAACTTCTGAGACTTATTCACTATCATGAGAACAGCATGGGAAAAAGGCATCCCCATGATCCAGTTACCTCCCACTAGGTCTGTCACACACCATGTGGAGATTAGGGGAGCTAGAATTCAAGATGAGATTTGGTTGGTGACACAGGGAAACCATATCAGTGACCGACTAATATTTTTTATTATTTTGCGGAGACAGGGTTCCACTTTGTTGCCCAGGCTTCAAGCAGTCCTCTTGCCTCAGCCTCCCAAAGTGTTGGGATTATGGGCATAAGCGACCATGCCTTGCCTATGTACTTTTAAAATGCCTCTTTTGTCAGTTTTTTCATCGAGGATATAGAATGAATAGCCTACGATTTTTATTTTTATTGCTGTGTTTATTAATATGTTTAATACTTATTTATTGAGTGGACTTAAATTATGTATACAACACTTAGCCATTATGAAATGTTAGAAGATGTTGTTTTTTAAACCCTACTGAAATTGCCTTGCAATACGATCGTATCTGAATTTACAGATCCATATGCCAGTGTCCACATAAATTATCTCCACTGGTAGAAGTGAGTATGGATTCACTTAGAACTTACTTATATTTCATGTTTATTATGTGCTCAGCATTGAGCTTGGGCATGGGATGTAAAAGTACATTATGGTCCCTTCCTCAGCATTACTCATCTTGAAAACCTTGGATTCCTAGTCTTTATTCCTTTCTCGTTAGTGCAACTGATTAATACTTAAATATGCTGACAATAGCGTGATTATTTGAGACTTACTATTCTAATATAAGGAGCTTTTCTGTTAAGACAGAATGTAGATACATTGTAACAATTATTTATAAAATACCTTTTAACCTTTTAATGGGAATCATTTGATACACAAAGCATTTGGCTTCTCAGAAAGCTTTTAAGGTTATTAATTTGGAGTACAAAGAAATATTTTGGTATATTAATAATGGTAATAAGGTTTCAAAATTCTCCAGCCCAGATGAACCAATGACAAATTTGGAATTAAAAATATCTGCCTCCCTAAAACAAGCACTTGATAAACTTAAACTGTCATCAGGGAATGAAGAAAATAAGAAAGGTAAGATTTTATTTTGTTTTATTGTTAATTATTTTCTGGTACAGTTAAGCAGTTATCCAAAAGAGAGAATAGTAGTTTACTGCATATAAATAGGGAAAAGTCGCACATTGTAGTTAAGAAACTTTTTCTTCTAAATGTCAGATATGATAAACTACAAATACTTCAGAACCTAATAGGTTAATTCCATATGTCTTTATTCAAAACGAGAACCTATATTAAATTTTTTTTCTTTTATGGTTCATTATTTTTTTAAGAATCAGCTAAATTTCTTTGATATTTTAAAATGTTTTCTTGTACATTATACAAAATATATTCACTATTCTCTGACTTTATACCTGGTACCATGGGAGGAAAACACCCTTTCATGATTTATTTTACAAAGTTAAGATACTGGATATAACATTTTGTTATGGAAAAAATTGTGTCCTGCATTGTTGAAGACACCAGGTCCTCAAAAGAAGAAGAAATGTGTCATATATCAATTTGGGGATATAAGCAAATCCTAGTCACAGTCGTTTTCTAAAAAGTATTGTTTTCTGGAAAAACCTAGTTTTTAAGAATGATGCCACAGCGAAGTTCTATTTTAACTTTTTAATTTGATTTTTTTTTCTTTGTTACAGAAGAAGACAATGATGAAATTAAGATTGGGACCTCATGTAAGAATGGAGGGTGTTCAAAGGTATATATCACAAGATTTGTGATGTGTTATGAAGTAAAATTTTAATTTTGAGGAAAGTGCAGTTTGCTGACTCAATTCAACAAACATTTGCATGCATATTATATATTGAACATTATGCTGGGGACTAGGGCTACAATCATGGATAAGAGACTCTGAGTAGCATCATGTCCAGTAGAATAATGAAAATAAGTAATTCCAATTCACTTAACATTTACTGAGCACTTATTATGTGCCAGACATTTTATGGGCTGGAGACATAGTATCAAATAAAGCAAACATTTCTTTTCTTATGGAGCTGATATTCTAGAATGGGGAGAAGAGCAACAAATAGGTAGTTAGATATTACAAAATCAGGATGATAGGAAGAAAATAAAACATACTAAGGAGTGCTTATCAGCAAAGCCCTTCTTGACATAGTAACACTAAATCAGAAATCTTCATGTTGCACTGGATGGATTATGTAAACCTGGGTGAAGAGTGTTCTGGATGCAGTAACATGAGCAGAGGCTTTAGAACTTGGCTATTCAAGGAATAACAAGGTCTGTGGAGCTTGGGCAAGGGTAGCAGGTAAGACAGGTAGACAGAATTATGGTGGTTCTTTTAAGCCATGATGAGGTATTTGGGCTTTATTCTAAGTATTAGGAGAAGCTATTACTTGCTTTAGGGAAGGGTTTTAGAAAGATTCTGTGACTGGTGAATGGTAAATACATGGTGATGCAGCAGGAGTGGAATTGGAAGAAGAGAAACCAGCTAGGATGCTATTGTGGAAGACCAGACAGTGGGATTGGAGAGTAGTTTGTTGAGAAGTGATTAAATGTGGGATGCGGTCAAACATACCAGTAAGCCATTTTCCTGCCTCTTGCTACTTGATATAAAACTTGCATATCCTCCAACATTTCTTCTCCCTCTCCTTTTTTCTCCATCGCTCTTAATCACTTTATATTACTTATTTTGTATACTTATTTTACTTCTGAGCTATACCATCTAACCCCCATGCTGAGTAAAAGTTGTGAGGATAGGGATTTTTTTTCTTTGTTGTATCTTGAATCCTTAGAACAGTGCGTGTAGAATGAATGATAGAATTTGAAAGTACAGAAAGTACAGATGGTTCCGAACTTACCATGGTGTAACTTAAGATTTTTTTGACTTAACAATGGTATTATCAGGCTATAACCACATTGTAAGCAAAGGAGCATCTGCCTGTATTAGCAGGATTTGCTAATGGATTCGATGTGAAGGGAATTCAAGCATCTGGGTGATTGGTGACACCATTAACCAACAAGGTGAAAATGGGGTGGGGGCAGGTTTATACTTTTTCCTCATGTTAAATTTTAGATCACTTAAGGAATGGAGATACAATTGTATTTACATGTATATGAGGTAGAAGTAGTAGATAAAAGGGAATTAGTAATTACTGGATTGGGGAAGGCAGTGCAAATGGTAGGGTAATAGAGGAAGATCAAGGAGAAGGTATCAGATGTGTTTTGAAAAGTGAATGACAGGGAAAACAGAGAAAGGGTATTTCAAGCGTAAGTAATAGCACAAGTATAGAGAAAATTATGTAATGGTACAAATTTGCTGCTGTGGAATTGAGATTAATAGAGATAAGTAGACCTGGCCAGATCCTAAAAGGGTTTAGTGATGCAGGGAAGTTAGATTGTACGTTAGAGTGTGGAGGCCATTGAAATTGAAGAATTTTTTAGTCTTTTTCATTGAAATATAACATTGAAGTTTGTTAAAGGATATACAAATATAAATTTGTAGCTCAAGGGATTTTCACAAAATTAAACACACCAGCAATGCAGAGCACTCCTTATGTGTTTTCTCATTCATTATCTTCCTCAAATGTTTTTCTGTCAGTCAACATATGTTTTTTCTGTTTCTGAGTTTAATGTAAAAATAACCATAGAATATGTACTTGTTTTTGTCGTCTTCTGCATAATAATGCTTGTTTTATTTATCTTTGTTGCATGTAGCTTTAGTTTTGTTTTTTTATTTCTTTAAGGTATGTCATTATTTGAATGTGCCACAACTAATTTCTACTTTATATTGTCCTTTAATTTTAAAAAATTGTTTTTAATAATGCTATTATGAACATTCTTTTTGAGATGGAGTTTCACTCTTGTAACCCACCCTGGAGTACAATGGTAGGCTCTCGGCTCACTACAACCTCCGCCTCCCGGGTTCAAGCGATTCTTCTGTTTCAGCCTCCTGAGTAGCTGGGTTTACAGGTGCCCACCACGCCTGACTAATTTTTGTATTTTTACTAGAGACAAGGTTTCACCATGTTGGCCAGGCTGGTCTCAAACTCCTGAACCTCAGGTGATCCACCCGCCTCGGCCTCCCAAAGTGCTGGAATTACAGGCGTGAAGCCACCGCAGCCGGCCTATTATGAACATTCTTGTGCATGACTTTTGTGACACATATACACATTTCCATTTCTAGTATTTTGGATTTTTTTTTTTAAATTTTGGCATATGTGCATTATACTTATCAGTTAGTTCAGCATCCCTAATCTGAAATGCTCCAATGAGCATTTTCTTTAACTGTCATGTTGGCTCTCAAAAAGTTAACAGATTTTTGGAGCATTTGAGATTTTGGATTAGGTATGCCCACCTGTATATCTTTAGCATTAACAGATACTTCCACATAGTTTTCCAAGGTGGTTGTATTTGTTTACGTTTCTACCAGCAGTATGTGAGGCTAGTTCAACTTGTCCTATGGTTTCTTAACATTTTGTTATACGAGTTTTTTTTGTTTTTTTTTTTTTTTTTGTATTTTAACCATTCTAGTGTGTGTATAGTGTTTTGTCATGGTTTTGATTTGTACTTCCCTAATGATGACTGCTTTTTTGTATGTTTATTAGCCATTTGTATATCCTCTTGTGAAGTGTGCAGAATCTTTTACCTATCTCTAATGTCTCTTGCTTACCAGTTTGTAAGAATTCTTTATATATTTTAGCTGTGACTCTTATCAGAAATTCTATGCTTTTTCACTGTCTTAATGACGACTTTGATAAACTTTTTATCAAATTGCTTTTTAACAAAATCCAATTTGTCCATCATTTTGTTTATGACTAGTGCTTTCCATGTTCTATTTAAGAAATCGTTGCTTACTTCAGGGCTGTGAGTGTTTTCTCATATGGAGGCACATTTAAATATGTAAATGACCTGGAACTGATTATTGTATAAGGTGTGACATGGATGTAATTAAAGAACTTTAAACAAAAGGGTGATAGTAATTTGATAATTAGTAGAAAATAGAAGTCGAAGGCTGAGAAATAGTAGAAACCTGTTAGTATAGTCTGATTGCTTAAAATCTGCTAGCTTATGAGGAAGATTAACAAATTAATATATTCAAGTCAAATTGATGAGATTTCATTATAGACTGCCTATGGGTGGAGGGAGAGGAGATGCTGAAGAGGAACGAATGGATTTTGCTTTGAGAAACTGAGTCTGTACGGTGCCATCAAATAATATGGGGAAAAGAATGGACTGTGGGGGCAATAGCATTAAGTTTAGTAGATGCTAACATACTGAGTTTTATGTTCTTGTGAAATATCTTAAGGAGAAATACACATCTAATACTGTACTTTGGATTTATAAAAGATAAACACAGAATTTTATTTTCTGTTTGTAGGTAGTGCTATAAATACAAAAATAGAAAATATACTACTGGCTACATCCATGTTTTATTAACATAATTTTTTGTGAATTCATCTGTAGAGCCTCCATCTACAGCAGCAATGGGGCCCGGATCTTCCAGACAAACCCTGGATATATATATAGGTCTGCAGCTCATTTTACCCTTTATAGGGATAAGAAATCACCATCACTCTAGAACTTCCAGAATTGCTTATTAGATTTCTCATATTATTTGACAATACTTACATGGAGTTTACTGTACACATAAGTCATGCAGTAACTGTATTTTTATTGAGAGTATTAATCCCTTGGTTTCAACATTGTTTTTGAAATTAGTAACTAAGTAAGTACTTGAATATGATTGGATGGGATCTCATACTCAAAAGGCTGAAAGCATCTTAATATGACTTTCTCAAAGGAACCTAAAACTTAACCAAGTCCAAAAGGGAATCATTTTTCATTTTTTAACAGAATGGCGTGGGATGGATTTATGAATTTTCTAGGTAATTGTCATTTAAGTATTTTGCAAAGTTCGTAGAGGTCACCAATACTGCAAATATGTATGAGATGTAACTGTAAGATACGCAGCTAATTTTTTTTCTCTTTGTTTCCTTTTTAGACATACCAGGGTCTAGAGAGTCTAGAAGAAGTCTGTGTATATCATTCTGGAGTACCTATTTTCCATGAGGGGTAACTTATGCATGACTTATTAAAATAGTTTATGGTAGAATTTAGAAAGTTAAACCTTTCTGTCTTTAAACATTGTTTGCCATGCAGTGTTATTAGGCATTTTACTTACATTGCCATTAACATCTTCACAATAGCCTACACAAACACAGGGGTTTGTATGTTGTGTGTTTATACATGAGAAAACAGAAACAAGGTTACAGTTCTTAAGTGGTCATTGTGATATAAACTGCCTGTTTTTCTTCATATTCTGTATTTAAAAGTGATGCTATTTGGGCTAAATGTTTTGTTTGAAGGACTGTCCTACACATTGCAGGGCATTTAGAATTTTGGGCCCTGGGGCACTAAGACAACATTATCCCAAGACGACCCATACTTTTCCGCATCCTGCAGTTGAGAGCCTCTCTTCTGTATTATGCTCTAGTTTATAGAAATGCAGCACTGTGTAAAAATCTTCCACTCTGTTTCCACATTCTTCCTGATATACTGTACATTCATTTTTAGTAACTTAGACACTTGTAAAATGCTAGAGTTTGTACACTTACTGGCTTATTAAAAATCAGATTTATCCCTAAAATACTTGTGGATTTAATTGGTTGTGAGATTTTATTTCTGAAGTTTTTCTGTGATAATTTAAAGGATGAAATACTGGAGCTGTTGTAGAAGAAAAACTTCTGATTTTAATACATTCTTAGCCCAAGAGGGCTGTACAAAAGGGAAACACATGTGGACTAAAAAAGATGCTGTAAGTAACTCTTCCAAAAATAGCACACTGGGTTTATATTCATCTGAGTCATTTTTTAAAGATTTGAAATTATTCTGTCTTTAGATTTTAAAAAAAAGTTTTCTTTTTTGCACCATAGAGCTTTGATGTGACTACGAAATAAAATGAATCTGAGTCAAGCTGCCAGTGTACTGCCTTTTGAGCAAAATAGCCATTGTCTGTTTTGATGCAAGCATGTGAGGTTTTGTGAAATACTTAAGCCTGACAAAATTGAAGAATTTTTGTCTTCTTTAATTAATAAAATTAGCTCCATGGCCTCTTCCTACTTTTTGTTTTTTAAAAATTACTTTTCTATGAATTTGATGACGTTAAACGTTTAGACCTCTGTTATTCTTTTGGCCACTTAAAACTTCAATCATTTACAGATGCACAAACACTCCATCTAGTGGCCAGAGAGGAGGATTGCAGTCTTGTTTCAGTGGAATTGTTTTGAATGCCTCTGCTTGCTAATGGGATATTTATCAAAAGGGGGGAAAAAAGCATCATTTCCTACTTCCCTGGACAGCTTTTTAAAAAGACTTGGGGGCTATGCAAATAATTTCCCAAAACCCCATTAAATTGTGAGAGGATGAGCAACTTATTGCTCAATAAGTTTTTGTCTGTTAGCTATTGTTAATGTATTTTATAATGTATTAAATTTTCAAATTAATTTAGAGATTTCAATATTTTAGTCTTCTGTAGTTGCTGCCCCTCCCCCACTTTTTTTTTTCTTGAGACAGAGTCTCGCTCTGTCGCCCAGACGTGCAGTGCAGGCTCACTGCAACCTCCGCCTCCCGGGTTCAAGCAGTTATCCTGCCTCAGCCTCCCTAGTAGCTGGGACTACAGGTGCGTACCACCACGCCCAGCTAATTTTTTTGTATATTTAATAGAGACAGGTTTTCACCATCTTGGCTAGGCTGGTCTTGGACTCCTGACCTCGTGATCCACCCGCCTCGACCTCCAAAAGTGCTGGGATTATAGGCGTGAGCCACCGCGCCTGGCCCTAGTTGCTTTTTAATAACACATGGTTGGATATTATAAAAATACCCTGAAGTTATAAAAATTCATCTACCACAAAACTATCAGAAATGTTTTTAAATAAAAAGAGTGTATTTTTTATAGTCCAAAAGTTTGAAAATTTTAGTTTGAAAAAATAAAATGTTGTTTTCCATTATGTTAAGTTTGGGAGTATAATCCTAGATAAAATGATGTAATTTCTCTTGTTTTTTAATGTATGCAGTTATCAAGTATTAAGTATCTAAGCTAGTAGCTAAGGGGAAAAATGTGAGTGATATATATAATTTAAATTTAGTTAATGTAATTTTATCAAAACGAAAATAGTACCTTTTACAACAGTAGTGTCTCAGTTTCCTGAATTATGTAACTAAATTGTTCTCATTTATATAACAAATCATCATTTGCCTCTATAAAAAAAAATACTGGTAGGGCAGTATAGTATACTACTGGTATGTAAGGATTATTTTCATAATCAGAAAATCCAAAAATCATTTGTTCTTTATTAAAATGGGAAGAAAGTAATAACTGGTCAGATTTTTTTCTTAGATTCTGATTTGTAGAAAATAAATAAGGTTTCTAGTGCATGAGGTTAAGGTGTTGTCTGATTTATCCCAGTAAACAAATGTCTTTCATTTCAGTCTTCAAAGAATGTTTTGATGACAGTACTTAGTAGGTTACAGAATGTTAAATTGGATTAAATTTAGTAGGAGTTCTTAAATTGTCTTTTTAGCTGTGTATCAATATTATGGCCCTGAAAGAAAAAAACAAAGGGAAGGAGTAAGTGTGTTCTGAAATCATAAAATTTATGAAGAATCTTTGTACCATGATATATTTTCTTGTTTAAGCCTCTTGGGAAATATAGAAGTTTTTTGCCCTTAAACATTAAGTGCTTAGTTGTTGTGCATGGTAGTTTTTTCTCAGATGGGTCAAATTCCTCTTTTTAAGAAATTAATTATGTGGCACTTTTTTAACTTACAGAGTTTCTCTTACATTACAGGGGAAAAAAGTTGTTCCATGTAGACATGACTGGCATCAGACTGGAGGTGAAGTTACCATTTCAGTATATGCTAAAAACTCACTTCCAGAACTTAGCCGAGTAGAAGCAAATAGCACATTGGTAAGTACATCTTATAATTTTGGGTAAAAGTTCTTTTCTATACATCATTCTTTATGTTACTGTATTTTAAAGTATTGTTTATATCTCAGCTGATTTGGGGGTAAGATTTTATAATGACTCCCATTAAAAAAAATTAAATTACTTCTATGAAACTATTTTAAATGAAAATTTCTGTATAGTAGACTTACTGCTGAACCATTCTGGAGATACTGTAGTAGATTTATCAAGTAATATAGTACTTAGTTCTCAATATGAAACTTGAAGCCAGTTATTCTTTTTTGTCAGTGGCTTTTCTCATATGAAACAATACAGTATTGGCAGTTTCTTAAAATAGCTTAATTCATTTTTGTCAGTCTTATTTTTATAATCAGTGTTTGATAGCATAAATCTTCAGTTTGAATTAGATCAATTAACTGTGTATATCTTTTTCAGTTAAATGTGCATATTGTATTTGAAGGAGAGAAGGAATTTGATCAAAATGTGAAATTATGGGGTGTAAGTATTACAAATTTATAAGAATTTTTTTTCTGATAACTTAGATCATTTGTAGAATAAAAGACAATTCTTCAGTAAACATTGATGCAAAGTATAGATGTATAACTTAACAGTGTATCCTACCAAAAAGTTTAAGACTAGATATAAAAGAGGCCTTTAGAAGCTTGGATTTGGGATTATTGGCATAAGCAAGTCTGATGTTTTCCTCTGAGACTAATAAAACTACTGAGGTTTCCTGTAATTCTCTTTGATATGTTACAGGTGATTGATGTAAAGCGAAGTTATGTAACTATGACTGCAACAAAGATTGAAATCACTATGAGAAAAGCTGAACCGATGCAGTGGGCAAGCCTTGAACTGCCTGCAGCTAAAAAGCAGGAAAAACAAAAAGATGCCACAACAGATTGAGTGGGAGATGGAAGGAAGGCTATTACATTATTTCCGAATTTTTAATACTGTGTGAAGTGGTGGCTTGCTGCTGTAATCTTTTGTTTTGTTGTTGTGTTACTGAATGTGGCATTTCAGGGTTAACATTAGGTTCTTAAAAGCCAAAGTCAGTTTGTCTTTTTGTGCCTCTCATCTTTCTTTTGTGTTATGTAAGATTGATTATTCATTTCTCCCTACTGGTAGGAACCATAGTTGTGTCCTATACTTGAAGAGGCTGGAAAGTAGCCCATAACCATAATTGCAGTATTTCTTTGTATTTCTCTGTTAAGCAAAGAAATATTAAGGAACATTTTTTTTATGTTTTTGTATTATTCCATAATTAGTAAAGCAAGATGAAATGTCAAATTTTAATCAGTTTTTTCATGGATTTGTGTTCTTACAGTACTTGAAAATATTTAAGGAAGAGATGAAGCTCTGCAGTTTTTTCTATGTGGGATGATTACTTTTTTAAGGAGGATTAATTCTGAGGTAGTATAGTAACTAAAGGGGAATATATGAATTGTTTAACAAATTAGAATTTGTTTACAACTACTTGAATTTTTAAATTATGTCAAAACTTACATTACTTGCCAAGCAGTATGATGTTATAGGAAACATAAATAAGATTACAGAGGTATCAATTTGGTTAAAATTCACCATTTTATAAGACTAAGCAATAATCTTAACAACCTCTTTCCTGAATATTTAAATGTGTTTGTATGGTGTTATGACTAATTGTTACTGATTTAGAGACTAAGCCCTCTTAAAACCTTTAGTTAAATATAAAAAGAAATTATATATATCTTGCCTCCCTGATGGAAAACTATATAAAATTGTAGACTTAAAAGGTTTGTGGAAATACATTAGGATATCAGAAAACTAAATATATGGAGTTGCTTTATGACTATTACATGTTAAATAAAAATAGCTTAATTGTTTTGGAGTTTTTTTTTAAAGTCATGAAGAGCTTCACAATTCTAGTGATACAATGTTGACTATATATTGTACTTTATATTAAATATAGGTAATACAGAATTAGATCGTTTGGATAGGTTTTGAGTTAGTGCAGAACTCAAGAAGAAAAATTAGGAAATATTCTGAAGGCCAGAACTCTGGAAGAACTTAGAAAGTTTGGGAATAAATTAAACTTATGTAGATTTAAAATTAAAAGGGGTTTATTTCCCAAACCCCTTGAGTCTTTTCTTTTCCTTGGTATTTATGGAATTCTTACAAAGAAAAATTTGCAGAAGTACTATTTTCGTGAATAAAACATATGTATCATTCTACTACCATTAGCAAATAACTTAGTTGTAGTTAATATAATTGTTAAAAGGTTTAGCTCTGTTACAAATAAAAACATAAAGATCTGGCAACCAGACTTTCATGATGTTACATTACCATGACAAGAAACTCTGGGCAGTAAAAGTTGGACCCACATGGAGTACATAAGCATCTGATACCTGGAGATGTATTTAAAATTTTTCAAGTTATCTTCCATGATTTAGGAACCATTTAGAGACATGAAGTCTTTATGGGTTGGGGGAAAGGTTGATAATTAGTTTGATTAAAGGTAATGATTAATATCCCTTTTTGTTCATACTTCCTTCTGAGGCTGTTTTCCCCTAAACAGTATCTTAATCTGTTACATGTAATTGAAATATTATTTGAAGCAGTGAGTTATTGTAACCTCAGATTAGTTACATTGATCAAAACATTGATTTATACACACACACACACACATACATATGTAGCTTTTATATTTAGTCTGGTTACATTAGTGACCATGGTATTTACTTTCTTCTTAAGGAGCCTTTGAATTTCTTGTCCAGATAAAAATCCGAATATTTCTCTTAGACTCATACATAAAGGGACACAGTTATCGTTAGGTAGCATATGTTTTACTATCGGTTTGTCAAAAAAGTTAATAAAAAGTGCTTATTGATTTATTTCTCTAGAAATTTGCTTTGTCTTTTTTAGCATTAAAAATAATTACTATAGCAAAGCAGTCAAAGTTAGGTATATTATATATATACTTGGTAACTAAAGATGGGAAACCTAAAATGCTATTTTTCTTTCATAGCACATTTACTAGTATAAAGGAAGTAAGATCCTAATAAACTGAGCCTTTATTTAACTTCTTTGACCTAGTTTTAGGTTTACAGAAAAGTTGTAAAAATACAACAGTTCTTTATGTCTTATATTAATCTTAATGTTAAAATCTTACGTTATCATAGAACATTTATAAAACTTAAGAAATTAACCTTTGTATAATACTATTAACTAAAGTAGAACATTTTATTTTTACCATCTGTTTTTAGTGGAATTCTTCAAGGTCTTAAGACTTGTCCTACTTTTTTGGTAATAATTTAAGCCAGTAATTTATAAACAATTAAGATATGATTAGGAATCAACAAATGTTTATAGGTTGAAGATGTAACTTCTTGGTGTAACTATACTGGCAAAGGACTGTAATGATTTTACTTTATTCTAATTTATATTTTATGCAAGGATTTAATTAAGAATTTTCTTCAGAAAATTATTCAACCATCAAAGTGTAGAGAAACTTAAAGAGTTCTTGCAAATATTTTAAAGGGACTTTGAGTTATTTCCCCTCTCCGAACTCCCAATTTTTTTTTTTTTTTTAATCAGTTATTCCTCAGCCTGAAAATTTATGTCATGCGTATACTCACAGTAAGTAAACTTTTTTTTTTTTATTTTTTTTATTTATTTATTTTTTTTTTTTTGAGACGGAGTCTCGCTCTGTCGCCCAGGCTGGAGTGCAGTGGCGGGATCTCGGCTCACTGCAAGCTCCGCCTCCCGGGTTCACGCCATTCTCCTGCCTCAGCTTCCCAAGTAGCTGGGACTACAGGCGCCCGCCACTACGCCCGGCTAATTTTTTGTATTTTTTTTTTTTAGTAGAGACGGGGTTTCACCGTTTTAGCCGGGATGGTCTCGATCTCCTGACCTCGTGATCCGCCCGCCTCGGCCTCCCAAAGTGCTGGGATTACAGGCGTGAGCCACCGCGCCCGGCCAAGTAAACTCTTAAAAGCTCATTTATGAGGGCTGGTGTCCCTTTTAGGATATATGGGTATGTACTCTGTAAATTTTGTTTTTAGCAGTCAGGTACTTTTAAATTATCTATTTGAACATTAACAGGGTTTTTTTTTGTTGTTCATCTTTTATGGCAAATTATTTTGACTTGGCATTCATATTTGTTATTTACTTTGTTTTCACCAGTATAATTCCATGGCCTCAGTTTTGAAATGCAAGCTATTAAGCCCAGCTTGTTTTTAGGTTTTGTTAATAGGGTTTTCTGTTTCATTTGTTTTGATTGTTTGATAGGTTTTTTGTTGTTGTTGTTAATTATCCCTGACTGCTTCCCTACTGCCCAGGTATCTTAACAACTTAATCTGGTGGTGTTGGATGGCTTGCCTTCTTCAGTTACGTATATGCCTATGGCTTTATACATATGGCACTATCTCTAAAATACCAGGCTTGCAGAGGTTTTCTTCTGCATGTTCTTTAACTTTTTAACAGAATTCTTCATTGTGAAGATTATCTTTAAGAACAGTTTTTCTGAAGACCATGTTTTCACTAAAAACTCAATGACTTTTCTTAGTTTTTCCGTTTAGTGGGTCACCTTTAATGTCCATTGAAAAGAAATATAACTTCCAGCCTTAAACATTTTTATGTTTCTTAAAGATTATGTGTCAAAATAATTCAATTTGCCATTCCTTTTTCATTAGGCAGAGATGCTGCTTAAATGTTTAAATTATTTTTTAAAAACTTTGCTAATAAAAGTAAAATCAGTGATTGAGTCTGGAAAAGGGAAACCTCCCTGAACTTGAGGCACTTTCCCCTCGTTCAGTAAAGAGGTTAGATGGATGTATTAATATTTTTAAACACCCTGATCCTTTTCTTCATTTTGCTTATTTCATTTTGCAGTTTCATATTTATTCAGATTTTATTTTTATGATTAACTTGTTAATCTTCTTTACCATGCTGTGAGGTGGGTTTTTTTATTCTTATATTACAGATGAGGAAACTGACTTTATGACATTGGTTAAGTAGCTTATCCAGAGTTCAGACTAATGAGTTGTGGTATAAAGATTTCAAACTCATGCAGCCTGCCTCTGTGTTGTTCCATGCTCTTAACCACTATTCTGTGCTGCTTCTGATATAACATGGGCATATAGCATGGAAAACTCTTAATGTGTTTGGTAACCAGGAACAATTTTTTTGTTGTGTTAGTAAAGTTATAAAATTATGTAGTAATTTTGCCTGGATGGTTTTGGATATAATAGCCAATTCATCACTTGTGATTTGATGACTCTTAGGGTCTCTAGTTTTTCTTAACAGCCTCCAAATTGAAGTTTCAGAATCCTTACTGCAAAAAGCACAAAAGTTTTCATTGCCATTTTGATAGTGATATGTAGCTCGTAAATAATAATTCTTACCTCTGTGTTAGATAAAACATCCAGTAAAACAGCATCAAGTTTAGCTTTGATAGAAGGGAACAATTAGAGTTGGTGTAGAGACAGACCAGTTAGGATGAGGGCATGAAATACAGCAGAAGCAGTAGGAAGAGAAGAGAGACTGAGGATCTTGAATTAGGGTCTAGATGAAAATTTAGGATGATTCCTAGGTTTGGGAATGGAGGGAGAGCTTAAACAAGATAGAGAATATAGACACAGATTTTGGAGGAAATGATTTTCTCAAGGGACTGCTGAGTCCAAGGAATGTTTACAAATCCTCAAGAAGTACTCCAGGCTATTTGTAAGATCTGAGGCTCATAGGCCTTTTCTGGCTCTCAGGATTTAGAGTCGTAATAGGCAGTAATGTAAATTCACTAGCTAACTTTGAGGTTGCAACATTCATAGCACTCTGAACTTTGAGGGCATCTTGTTTTAATTCAAAAAACTGGTAATCCCTGCTTTTGATTGTGATGTAAGTAGCAGTACACAAGCATGGGAATAAGTAAATCCAATAAAGGAGTATTTAGGCTCACCTGCTAAATACTCAGTGTGCCACCCAAACCATCTGTAATGGGTCCCCTTATTGAAAACATTCTTTTTCCAGAATGGGCAAGGAAGGCTGGATGGGCAAAAGCAAAATAAATGTACCACAGACCCTTGATTCTGTTAGTATCAGTGATAAAACATGATTGATAAAACTAGGCATGATACATTCTTAAGGTACAGAAAAATGTGGAAATTGTGTCAAGAAAATTCACAAATTTTAAATGGTTCTTTAGGCTGATAGTAATAAATGGGATCATTATAATTTTATGTAAAACCTTCAAAGGCTTCCTACTAAAGAAAGCTGAATTCCAGTAACAGATTGAGCCCAGACTACTCAGTTCATATTTGAGGCCAACTTAGACTATTTTTGATGCCTTAAAGATTCCTTCAAGTCCCCTTTCTCTTTCTACCATACCCCCAGTAAAGCTACTTAAAATCCTCTGTAGGAAAGAGCTGAGTAATTGGGGGCAGAGATGGAGGACAAATTTAAGGGAACAGAAAGCCATTGGGAAGACAAATGAAAGCCAGAATCTGAAGATAATTTTAAAACCTTCAGGGAAAGTAGGTGTCTAATCACAGGACTTAATTCACTTGAGTAGAAATTTGTAATTTAGCCATAGGAATTTAGGAAGTGTTAGTTACAAGAGGTAACTTGAAGCTGTGGACATGATGATAGCTTTTGTTGCATAATTAGAATGTGCCAAACACTTTGCTAAGTGCTTATGATAGCTTTTCTCTTCAGAACATCACCATGATTATTTACAGTATAACCTGTATTTTACAGATGGAGAAATGTAGGCAAAGGAAAGGGGCATAACTTGCCTCCAGGGTCACATAGATAGCAAATGATGAAATTTAATTTTAAAATTAGAAACTGATTCCAAAGTCCTTACACTCTTAACCATGAAACTGAAGACATCTAAGTCACCACGCAAAACCCAGAATCTAAATGGCCATTTATTAGTGCTTATTCCTTTATTTCCTAATATTAATTAAATGACTTAATTACCATGAGAAGATAATGTGCTTTCAGTTTTCGCAGTAGTTAGTTCAGCCATTGATTTTCTTACTAAGAACCTCTAAAAGGCCAATGGGCAGTTGACAAAAATTAGGGATGGATTCTGCAGCTGTAAGACCAAGTGAAAGTAAAAGGCCCATGGCGGTAAATTTGTCCCTTGCAGGCAGTTTGTTCTAAATGCTTGTGCCTAGAAATAAACTTAGCCTTATTATCATCTGGACTCTGAGCAATTTTTGCATCTCAGTATTCTTAGATGTGGATGATTAAAAGGCCACGTATGAAGGCAGCTAACATAAGACACTTTGTGGGAGTGAGATAATTCATTAAAATCAAATATTAGTGTATTAGGCAAACAAATTCAATCATTTCAGTTATGTAAAGCTAGCTGGGTTCTCAGTTTTAGCAAGTTAGGGAAGATATCACATTACAGGAGAAAGACAATCTAAAAGTTTTTGAAGTTTTAATGGATTTAACCACTTGTAAAATGTTATAAATTGTAGGACACTTCTCCCAGAGAGATCCTCTAGCATACATGGATGATTTACTTTTCATATTTATGATTTGGCAGGAAAGTTTGAGTTCATTTGAAGTTAGGCTTTTTAATAGTTTTTCTCCTCCCAGTGAATTTTTCTGAGTTGATAGGTGTAAAATTTATAGATTTTATTGATAATAAAAGTTTGTAAGCATCTTTAATGTAGCGATTCCATTGCTTATTTTTTATTCAGCACTCAGGTCACTTCCTATGTGCTGGAGATAATTAAAGACTCCACTTCCAAGAAAGGATACAACAAGGAAAATAAGAGGTTGTTAAATAAAAATTATGCCAAAGATAAGCCTGTAGAAAGCTTCTGTGGTGCGTATTTGGTAGATTTTATGGATGGATTTCGTGAAGGATAAATAGCAGAGTCCTGAGGGGGGAAAAAAGGATAGAAGTGGCCAAATACAAGAGAGGAAATGGGAGAAAGAATAGGATATGAAGAAGCCTGGCATTGAGAGGTGGTATTGGCCTGTTAAGAAAACTTGTTTGCCTAGCCCCTAAGTTCTAGTCTCACTCAGTATTGGGTTTAGGGCTCCTCTAGATTCTAGTACATCATGATAGATCATGCAGTCAGTAAAAGTCCTGCTGATTTTCCCCAGTAAAGTGCTTTAGTCCACACAAAGCCTGATCTTTAATCCATGCCTAGAATTGGCAAATGATGCCAGGAAAGAAAACAGTTGGTAGTCTCAGCTATGTAGAAAAGACAAAGACTTTTAGTACATCTAGTCTTAAGCGCTTCCACAGCTCTTTCGTATCTGTAATGTATTTTGCATTTGATCCATTTTTTCCTAGTTACTGCACCTGGGAGCGACTGCCAGTACTACCACATCATTTCGGTAGTGGAGGTCCCCATTGAAGGTTTTTTTCATAGCACATAGCATGATCACGTCTAGGAAGATCGTTCTGGCTGTAGATAGTATAATTATCTACTAATACAAAGGGGGAAAGGACGTGAGATGATGTGAAAGGAAGTTTTGCATCATTTACTTGAAAGATACTGTTCTTCTGAATTTAATCACATTGGGGATTGGAAAAAGTAGATGAATAAAAATTAAAAAGAAAAAAACAAATGAGTTCATGAAGTTAAGCAATTAAAGAAAAAGACAAATCTAATACAGTACTGTAATTATTTCAAAGGTTACTATTTTACCCTAAACTCATTTCTATACTTGAAAGTTCAAGGATCGATTGATATTTTTGAAATTCTGAACTAAATGGAAATATTAAGATGGCTCATGTGTGCATATATAAATGTTATTTGTATCCTCAGAATAAACTAATAAATTTCAAGGGTACAAAATAGGATTACTATTTGTGAACTGTATTGTATCCCAGAACTCTGTACTTTTGTCTGTTCAAAATGAAAACAGTAGTTATTATATTATTTTAACCCTTATAAAAGGGAATATGATGTAAAAAATTTTAGCAATTCAGTACAGAGTACAAGTCACATAAAAGTCTACCACCGAAATGCAAGCACTATTTGTATTTTGTTTGATATTCATATATTTAGTTTTATCACTTTTTTTAACCAGTAAGTCATGGACAACTTACTATATAAGTGAAAAATGTATATATGATCATTGTATGATCATTTTTATATTATACTATAATCAATTCTCCATTGATATTTAGCTTGTGATTTTTTTTTTTTACTATTTTTTACTGTGATAAAAAATGCTGTGGTAAACACCTTTGTGTCACATACATTGTCATTCTGTCCAGTTTTCTCTATAGAAACCAATTTTTAGAATTTCTTGGTTAAAGTATATACATTTCACGTGCTTTTTTACTAGTTTTTATATTAGACAACTTCTGATTAAACATTTAGTTTAAATGATTAAAAGTATGGCATTACAATAAGAATTTATGGCTTATTTGATTTTAAAAGTAGGTCTTAAAACAGGCAATATACTGTGACAAGCAAAATATTTCCATGTCATTATTTCGTAAGTATCCTTAAGAGGAACAGTATCTCTCTCAGGACTTGGACCAAGGAATGAGATCAAAGGGGAATAATGATTAGCAGCTTAATTCAGCTGATCTCAAATGCTTAGGGGAAAAGTTTTTTTAAAAAGTTCAAACATATGCCCTATTTAACATGTGATAACACATATTCTATATTAAATATCCTGAATTGATTATAGTGCATGCCACACAATCACTTGTTCTGTTGCTAACAATCAGATATTGATTAAAAATGATTAAAAAAAACAAGAATTAAAGGAAAAATTAAATTGCAATAATTACTATTTTACTCCAAACTCATATTTCAGACCAAATATGCTGTTCTGGCAGCTCGCATTTGTCTTCAGGAAAACTACCAGTAGGAAGAACACCCAAGACATTTCTAAACCTTTGTGCTTTGTCTCCTTTAGAAATGATAGAGTTGGAGGGAACTGATGCCCAGAGATACGTAGTGATCTACTCAGTTGGGTAGTAGATAGTATGATTCATGGGTCTTAATGCAGTATATTTTCTACAACACAGTGCTTCAAGGCAAAAGTTAAAGTGTTATACTTTGGTAGTGTAGCGTGGTAGTAAAGTTAACTCCCTTTTACAAAAGTCTTAATTGTGTATATTTATACTTCATAAATAGCACACCTTATTGCCTCTTTAAGCAGAAGGAATGGAACATATTTAAAAGTTACCTTGATGACAGAGTCATTGCTATACTTGCAACTTATTTTATTGTGGGGGATCAGTGAAATACCCTCTAGTAATACTGAGATGTATAGAAAATGCCCCTAAACTAAATGCCCCCACTGTTTTAAGTTAAACTGTATTGTTGGCCTGGGAGCAAGGGTAATGGGTAGTTTTTCCTTGTAGTTAAGCTTTGAGCTGTCATTTCTTATTTTAGTTATTGTACTTGCCTATGAAGGCTCTTCTAATTTTTAATTCTTAACTCGTTTTGGTGAAGTAGATGAACAACCAAGTTTATTGAAGCTTTAATCATAGTTGAACATGTAATTGAGTCACTGGGATCTGCATAAAAGTTTGCAGATTCTGATATACAGTCTTTATAGGAGTTAGAATATGAAGATTGTAGTAGCTATTTTCATCACCCATCAGACTTATATGTTTATTCAGTAGAGCTGAAATTATTAAATGTATGAATATTACTGGCTTTTTCCTGACCATTCACACTTCATGGTGATTTCACAAGAGAAGGTATATGATTCTGGTTTCCTTGCAGACTTGTTTTTTATAATCACGTTTATTGAGGCTTAATTTTCATACAATAAATTTTATATATATTTTAAGTTTACAATTTGCCACTCAGATCAAGATACGGAAAATTCTCATCTATTGGAGAAAGTTTCCTCATACTTCTTTGCAGCCATCCTCCCCAACCTGCCACTTGGCCCAGGCAATCACTAATCTAATTTTTAACACTACAGATTAGTTTGCCACTTCATCTAAATAGAAACATATTTTATGTAGTTGTTTGTCTGGCTTTTTTCCTTCAACAATGTCTGCCAATAATATTGCATTTATTGAAAGTTACTTCATTTTTATTGCTGAGTAGTAAGTAGTCTATTGTGTAATGGATACCACAGTTTATACATTCGTCTGTGGATGGACATTTGGGGTTTTTACGCTTTTAAGTTGCAATGAACATGCATACAAGTATTGCTGTGATCATTGTTTTTCCTTCTCTTGAATAAATAACTAGAAGTGGAATTCTGGAGTCCTAAAGTAAAAGTGTATGTTTAACTTTATAGGAAACTGCCAAACTGTTTTCAAAAGTGATTTTACCATTTTACATTCCCACACTCACAATGTCTGAGAATTCATGTTCCTTGCTATAATTTAGGGAATTTTCTTTTACTTTCTGCCACACAGGAGTTTTTTACTTCATTAGATTAACACTTTGCTAATATAATTATTAACTTTTAAAGAGCAAAAAAAAAAGGCTTTGCAGATGAAAAGACCAAAGCCTATAATCAAAACATGACATGAAAAGAGTTTAGAACACCCTGGCTTCATAAGTTATCAGAAAGGTGAATTTTATCCTCAGACTTTTAGCAACACCTTTAATGGCTAGCCACTTGAGACCTTCTATAATACTTCTTTCAGAGTTCCTGCTGCTGCTTGAATTGTAAAAGCTGCAATAGAAATATGTTTCTTTACTTCTTTCCAGGCCAAACGAGAGTTGGCTTTATTTTCAATATCAAAGATAGCATCATAGATTCCAGGAAATGATTCTCCAGCATATTTGTTGTGGCTACTTGGAGCAAATATGATGTGCCTAAAAGGAAGAAAACAAGGCAAATTGAACTAAAGTGTATACATGCATTTTGCATGCTTTTTGTTTAGACCACATGATGTTTCCTTGTGATACTCACTTTTGTTCCTATAATAAGAAGACAGTTGATCTGAGATACTTATGCGAATCATAATTTCAAGCCAGGAAAGAAGCTAACAATATGCATTCGCTAAGACATATCTCAGGAATCATATACCATGTTGCGAACCCAAAGCAGATGGAAGAAAGCAGGTTCTTTTAAGTTGTGCAGAATAATTGCTCAGCGTCCCGTAAGCATCCACAAATATGGTGATAACATGTAAGTTTATGGATGTTTTTAGTAAGAGGAGATTGAGAAAGATAATTTATTTTTGTGTTGCCTTTTAAAAATAGATTAAACAAGAATGACAGTTGTTCCCAATACTTTTTAGACATTAAAAAACAAGTAATTAAAGAAGCCTGTATTTCAAAGTGTTACAAATGGCAAGGATAATGACGTCCATTCCACAAAGGTAAGACAGTTATATGTGGGTTGCCCGCAAAGACACTCAACTTTTGATCTAAAAAGAAAGTTTTATAGTTGCTTTTCTACTTCAACATAAGTAGCTCAAGGGATCAAGCTACTTTCCGCAATAATGACGTAGAATTTTGCTTTCCAGAAAGGGATGTATTTTATTAATACATCAGGAATTAGGTCCAACAGTCAAACCCCAAAGCTTATTCTAGAGTAAATCTGTATGAAGCAATATAGAGCTCCATATAAGTCAGTATTAATGATTAATGATTAATGACAAATCTATAACACTCATCATTCAGATTTACCAAAGTACATCAGGATTTATTATCTTGGCTTTTAAATCTTAATATGGCCTCAGATGGATTTTTTTAAAATTAAAATCAGTTTATGTGCTAAGTTGTTTATAAGCATTGGTATCCTGACCTGTATATGAGTCAAGAAATTAGAGATGCAAGTCATAGATATTCCTTAGTATACTTACCCTCTTCTGGAGAATTGTAAAGGAAGAATATAGCAAAAAAAATTTGATATAGGAAGCGAATAACCTTTGAATCATTGATATGGCATTTAATATCTCAGTGACCTTTGGCAAATTGCCTAAGTTGTCTAAATTTGTCCCAGATTTGTAAAATAATTGAAATAATGTAGACTCTGCTTAGAGTAGTGACTGAGCAGGTTGTAGACTGAGACTGCCTGTTTTTTAAAAATCAGAATACTAGCATATTTACTATCAACAGAATACTATCAACTATCAGCCTTGTGGCCTTGCACTGGTTATTTAACCTCCCTGTGCCTGTTATCTTAAAAATGATGGTGATAAAAGTACTGTTCTAAAAGAATTGTGAGAATCAAATGTTGGATGAAAAGCATAGCTTGACATTTAATAGGTGTTCAGTAAATATTAGCTATTCTGAAACTAAATCCTTTCCCTAATTTTCTCAGATAAGAAGCAGGCAGCAAGCTAAAAGAAATGATCAGACAATTGGTAATGCTTAAGCAACTCAAATACCCTTTTATGAAATGGTGGACTCAAATAGCTATTCTAGTCCCATAAGAATTCAAACTCTGGTCTAGTTCTCAAGGTTTCAAGTATATGATGATTTAATTACCCTCCACAATGGACATTTCTGAATTTTTAAGAGGCATCAAGAACTACTGAGCAGACTAGAGAATATGGTCAACACTTCATAGTCTTTTTTCCTCAACCTTCCCCTCAGTACATAGTAAGTATTCACTGATGAGTTGTGATAATGCAAAATTTCTTTTTTTTTTTTGAGATAGAGTCTCGTTCTGTCGGCCCAGGCTGGAGTGCAGTGGCATGATCTCGGCTCACTGCAACCTCCACCTCCTGGGCTCAAGCAATTCTCCTGCCTCAGCCTCCCGAGTAGCTGGAATTACAGGTGCCTACCACCACGCCTGGCTAATTTTTGTATTTTTAGTAGAGATGGGGTTTCACCATGTTGGCCAGGCTGGTCTTAAACTCCTGACCTCAGGTAATCCACCCGCCTTAACCTCCCAAAGTGCTGGGATTACAGGCGTGAGCCACCATGCCCGGCCACAAATGTTTCTAGAATTTCATAATTAAATGCTTTGCAGCTTTTAAAGACTTTTACAGTATTTCACTTGATGTTTGCAAAAAAGGAAGCTTTATTTAATCCTTTTTAGATTCCATTACAGAGTGTGTTCATTTTATATTGCTGCTGTGCAAATTACCACCAACTTAGTGGCTTAAAAAAATTTATTATCTTACAGTTGGTCTGACATAAGTCTCACCAAGCTAAAATCAAGGTATGATCAGGGTCACATTCCTTCCTGGAGGCACTAGAGGAGAATCCTTTTCCTTGCTTTTCTAGCTTCTAGAGGCCTACCACATTCCTCCACCATCAAAATCCGCAACTGCATTTTAGATGAGTCTTTTCGCAATGGCATCACCCTAACTTTCTCTCCTGCCTGCCTCTTACAGGAAGACTTTTAAGGACCCTTGTGACTGCATCATTGGGACCACCAGTATAATTCAGAATACTGTCCCTATTTTAACTCAGCTGATTAGTGTGACTCATCCATCTGCCACCTTAATTCCTCTTTGTCATGTAACCTAACATATTCAAAGGTTCTGGGGTTAGAAAATAGAGATCTTTGGGAGGCCATTATTATGCTTACCACACAGAGCAATTAATTTTTGTGGAACTTTCATTAGGGAAAAAACGAGGAGTAATAGAATATAGAAAATGAGCTCAGTGGTAGATAAGGATTTATTACTTATTTGCCTTTGTTGTGATAGTTACAATATATTACCCACAACTCAAAAATAATTAAGTTTGCAAAATTTATCAAGCATGCTGCTATGGTCTGAATGTGTTCATTCCCCAAATTCGTATGTTGAAACTTAATTTCTAGTGTGACAGTATTAAGGGATTAGAGCCCTTATAAAAGAGAATGAAGAAAGCTAGCTAGCCCTTCCATCTGTTCTGCCAACTGAGGACGCCCTGAGAAAAATACCATATATGGGACAGGTGCTCATAAAACATTGAATTGGTTGACACTGATCTTGTACTTCCCAGCCCCTAGAACTGTGAGGAATAAATTTCTGTTTTTTATAAATTACCCAGTCTCAGGTATTTTGATATAGCAGCAGGAATGGACTAAGACACGTTTTTTATTCACAATAAACATTTAGTTATACTTCTGAATTTTAAGAAGAATGTTTTATATGTTCCACATTAACATTTTATTTTAAAATATGTACAATGTTTTCTGATTTATTCATTACTGAATCTCAACTGTTAAATCAAGTTTAACTTAAAGCTGCCTCCTTAAATATTTTAAGTTCAGCCTAAAGGTTTCTCTGTACATAGTGAACTATAACCTAAATGGAGTTGTCAACAGACTGAGTCTACTCTTGTGCCGATCACCAAGTTTTGGCCAATTAAAGGGGTCAGTTCAAACTGTTCAAATAAGGTAAATTCTGTGCTGTAACCAGTCTGGCTGTTTCTGTTACTCATTTCCGTTTTCTGTATGTCACTTTCCTTTTTCTGTCTGTAACTCTTCATCCATCACGTGGCTGCACTGGAGTCTCTCTGAGTCTATCATTCTTTGCTCAATTAAAGTCTGTTAAATATAATTTGGCTAATGTTTTTGTTTTAACAATACATACATATGTAATGTACATATATATATAATGGCTATACATACATACATCAGATTAGTCTAATTTTCTTAGTCTATCAATTCTACATGGTAGAACAATTTTATTACACTACAGATTTGGTAATCTCTCCATTCTTGAGGTTCATAAAATAGCAGATCTTAAAAATGTCATTGATCCATTATACGTACTGAAAGTTTTTACTCTTAGAGGTTTTATAAGATTTACAAGATCATTTTTAACCTGATATACATTGCTGGATGAGGAAAAAATAATTTTGAAATAAATTCTTTAAGACAAATGAGAAATTCTGGGTAGCTGGAATTGCTATTATAGCTACATTTATCTTAGCAGTTATTGGAAAAAGTGTGCATATGCAATATGTCATATCAATCCATAAAGTAATCCTTATGATCATGAAGGAAGAACTTATTTCCATACTACTGCAGTAGACTAAAACATAATAATATGAATTAGCATTAGAATATAATCTTAACATTCAGCTAATAGTTCAAAGTGCATTTTTAAAAATATGGTAGTCTTTGGAGGACAGTTTGGTAGTAACCTAATCAAATTTAAAAATGTGTTTACCCTGGGTCAAATGCTATTTCTAGTTCTAGATCCCTGAGGAATCGCCACACTGACTTCCACAATGGTTGAACTAGTTTACAGTCCCACCAACAGTGTAAAAGTGTTCCTATTTCTCCACATCCTCTCCAGCACCTGTTGTTTCCTGACTTTTTAATGATTGCCATTCTAACTGGTGTGAGATGGTATCTCATTGTGGTTTTGATTTGCATTTCTCTGATGGCCAGTGATGATGAGCATTTTTTCAAGTGTTTTTGGCTGCATAAATGTCTTCTTTTGAGAAGTGTCTGTTCATGTCCTTCGCCCACTTTTTGATGGGGTTGTTTTTTTCTTGTAAATTTGTTTGAGTTCATTGTAGATTCTGGATATTAGCCCTTTGTCAGATGAGTAGGTTGCGAAAATTTTCTCCCATTTTGTAGGTTGCCTGTTCACTCTGATGGTAGTTTCTTTTGCTGTGCAGAAGCTCTTTAGTTTAATTAGATCCCATTTGTCAATTTTGTCTTTTGTTGCCATTGCTTTTGGTGTTTTGGACATGAAGTCCTTGCCCATGCCTATGTCCTGAATGGTAATGCCTAGGTTTACTTCTAGGGTTTTTATGGTTTTAGGTCTAACGTTTAAGTCTTTAATCCATCTTGAATTGATTTTTGTATAAGGTGTAAGGAAGGGATCCAGTTTCAGCTTTCTACATATGGCTAGCCAGTTTTCCCAGCACCATTTATTAAATAGGGAATCCTTTCCCCATACCATTTGACCCAGCCATCCCATTACTGGGTATATACCCAAAGGACTATAAATCATGCTGCTATAAAGACACATGCACACATGTTTATTGCGGCATTATTCACAATAGCAAAGACTTGGAACCAACCCAAATGTCCAACAATGATAGACTGGATTAAGAAAATGTGGCACATATACACCATGGAATACTATGCAGCCATAAAAAATGATGAGTTCATGTCTTTTGTAGGGACATGGATGAAATTGGAAATCATCATTCTCAGTAAACTATCGCCAAGAACAAAAAACCAAACACCGCATATTCTCACTCATAGGTGGGAATTGAACAATGAGATCACATGGACACAGGAAGGGGAATATCACACTCTGGGGACTGTGGTGGGGTGGGGGGAGGAGGGAGGGATAGTATTGGGAGATATACCTAATGCTAGATGACGAGTTAGTGGGTGCAGCGCACCAGCATGGCACATGTATACATATGTAACTAACCTGCACAATGTGCACATGTACCCTAAAACTTAAAAGTATAATAAATAAATTTAAAAAAAAAAGATTACAAGTTCTTCAGTGTAAGCAAAATATCATGGACTCAAAAAGTCATGAGATGTGATCAAAAGCCAATGAGCCAGAAAAGGCAAATATGGCTGTACAAGTTGCTCATTTCTGTGAAAACAAATAAAATTTTAAATGTATATAAAAAAAAAAAAAAAAGTGTTTACCCTTTCACCCTGAAATCCCAGGTCCTGATTATAGAGATATTAACAAATGTTCAAATAGGACTCAAGGACATCCATACAATGCCATTACTTTTCATAATAGTAAATAATTGTGGAAAAATCCTAATCTGAAATTCAGTAAGAGGTAGATATTTTCACAAGAGTCAAATCTTTTATCTAAAAAAATGAAAAAAAATCTTAGAGATTGTCGAAGCTGGAGTGCAATGGCATGATCATAGCTCCACTGTAACATCAAGCTCCTGTGTTCAAGCAATCCCCCTGCCTTACCCTCCCAAGTAGCTAGGATTGCATGCACCACTACACCAGCTACTTTAAAAAATTTTTTGTAGAAACAGGGTCTCGCTGTGTTACCCAGGCTGGTCTTGAGCTCCTGGCCTCAAGCGATCCTCCTTTCTCAGCCTCCCAAAGCGCTGGGATTACAAGTGTGAGCCACCTCACCCAGCCTAAGATACATTCTTAAGGAAAAAAATAAAATTGTAACGTATGGTCCCATACATTATTTATGTAAATATAAATGGGTTTACATATTTATACATGTAAATATAAATGATTACATATGTAAATTTATAATATGTTAAATATAGATGTTTATGTAAATAAAAATTGTTTATATATTGTGTGTGTACACTTTTATGGAAATATTTGCATATATAGTATATAAATGTAATATATGTATATATAAATGTATATGTAAGTATATACAGTAATTCCTCAGTATCCATGGGGGATTGGTTCCAGAATCCCCTTTGGATACCAGAATTTAAGGATGCTCAACTCCCTTATATAAAATGGCTTACTATTTGCATATGACATATACAAGTCCTCCCAGATACTTTAAATCAGCTCTAGATTGCTTACAGCACCTAATACAATGTAAATGCTATGCAAATAGTTGTTTACTGTATTTAGGGAATAATGACCCAAAAAAGGTCTGTAAATCAGTACAGACACAACCATTCATTTTTTTTTCAAATATATTCTATCTGCAGTTGATGAATCAACAGATGTGGAACTCACAGATACAGAGGGCTGACTATATACATATATAAACATGTATATAAGTGCATTAAAACTTACACCAAACTCAACATTGAGTTTCACTGAAGAGAATAAAGAACTGGGTGTAGGGGGCAAGGGGGGAATGCTGAAGAAGCACTGCTCCTTTTTATTTTATATGCTTCTACAGAGCCTGAGTTTTTAAAATAATGACAAAATATAGATTTCTTATAAATAAATAGAAAATAAATATATAAAGATAGACTAATAACAACACCTGAGAGGACTAACAAACACTGTAGATACGGCTTTCGGCTTTTGTTTGATCCATATAAATAATTGATCATTGCTATTTCATTTGCATCAATGAAGAAACAAACATTTGTGTTTTTATTATTTATAAAAATAGCTGCCATTTATTGAGTGCATCCCTCTTGAGCTAAATCTTCTACAGGCCTTAAATCTACAGGCCTATTGAGTAAAAGCAATTATAATCTCCACTTAGTAGCTGAGGGATCTGAAGCTTAGAAAAATAATTTTTCCAGGTCACGTGAAGTATGTGGCAGAGCTGGGTTCTAAAAGCGTATGCTTGTAATTATCTAAATGTTAATATTAATCATTAACATTTATAAGAAAGGTAACATATAAACCTTTTTTGCATATTATTTGATGATAAATAGCCTTTAAAGTAGCAATTATCATCATCTTAATTCGGATGGGAAAACCCTAGAAGTTACTTGCTTTAAGTCACACATCTGCAAGTGAACTAGAATATAGATTTTCTGGCTTTGAATGCTAGGACCTTTCTAATTTCCACCAGAGAACCAGTTTTAGAAGGACCTTGAGAAAATGGAGAACATCCAAAGGGATGCAGCCAAGATACTGAAAGAGAACATGATGTAGAGATACAGATAGGAAAATAGGATACAGAGGCTTCGTGACTTAAAGATGAGTTGTTTTCTGATAAAACCATCATAAACTGAAAATATCACAAGTCAAAAATGCATTTAATATACCTAACCTACCAACAATCATAGCTTGGCCTAGCCTACCTTAAATGTGCTCAGAACACTTACATTAGCCTACAGTTGGGCAAAATTATCTAATGCAAAGCCTATTCTATAATGAAGTGTTGAATATCTCATGTAATTTATTGAATACTACACTGAATATGAAAACCAGAGTGGTTGCATGGGTACTTGAAGTATGGTTTCTACTTAATGTGTATTGCCTTTGCACCATCATAACGCCGAAAAATGAAATCTAACCATCGTTGAGAACCATCTCAAAAACCTAAAATACTATATGGAAATAGAGCTAAACTTATTTTATTTGACTTTAACAGAACAAACTCAAAGAGAAAAATATTACAGGAAAATAGATGTTAAATCTTTATGAAGAAAACTTTCTAATAATTAGACCTTTCATAAAGTGAAATGAGCCTCCTCATGAAGTAGTAAGCTTCTCATCACTAAAAGATTCTGAGACTGGATAACTATTTATCTGAGATTCTATAAAAAGGATTATGTAGAAGGTTGAACTAGATAAGCTCTAAAATTCCCTTTAAGATTCTACAGTTTGAAGATTTTGTTAGAAAGAGTTCTTTTTTAACTAGCCTTTACCATTTTCCCTCACAGCAAAGCAATAAACAATATGAAATTTATTTTTCTAATATGTATTATACCTATTATTAAATGTACAATCTTACCCAAATTCCCTAGAGTGTACATATTTGCCTTTCACCCATCTAATGGCATTAGTTTAAAGCCAACTTTAGGTATGCTGGTTTTGGTCACAGTGATGTATTTGGCGCCTGTTGTTTCCTTACCTATAGAACAGCTTTCCTGGTAAACCAAGAGGATCGATGAATGCTCTTTCCAGGAGCATCAGTTGGTCATTCATCATTCTCACTGCAATGGGACTTCGAGAAGAACATATACATAATTATAACGCAAACCGCAGAATCATGCTTCAAAAATAATATTAAATAAAAACAAGGCTTGGGAAAATATATTTCTAAAATTGATCAATTTTTAACAAAATGAATATTAACACAGTAATGCTTTACATGGTGAGCCACAAACAGCAGAGTCATCTTTCTAATATTTACAGTCAGCAGAGAGACCTATTGGAAAATCGTTTGTTATATTTTTTTACATCACACACCAATCAAAAGGGACTCAAAGACATTCTATACTTCTAGGAGGACAGCCAGGCCTCCTGGAAAGGCAGACAAAGTGAGCTATCAAGTTATTCCTGATAAGTCATTCGGTTCTACTGCTGAAAAAAGGAGCAGATAACAGGCTGGACAACAAAGAGTGAATGAAGGTTTCAGAAGCCTGTAAGGAGGGTAAGAGATAGCTGCACATAATGGATAGGGAATCCCTTGTCACACTCAGACTATCCCTTTGGGGAGTTGAGTAAGTTCCCTGGGCTCCCCTACAATCCAAAGGAGAATGAGGTCCCTTAAAACTACTGATAATAGCTTTCTTCCAATATGGGAAGTAGCAAAGTTTATTCTGATTACATCTGAAAAAATAAATGTGACATGGACACATCTGTGGATAAATTTATGCTTGTTACATGGTATTTACTTTGAATGTACTTTGAAACTATTTTCAATGTGAAAGTGGCAAGAAATTAAATAAAATGCAAAAAAAATTATCCATGAAAAAAGAATTTCTAAACTGGTACACAGGAGTACTGAACAAAGAACTAGTAAAATATATTACAAACGCACTTAAACTCATAAAGCTATGAATTTACAGCTGTAGTCAGAATTTTCATCATGCAGACTCCTAATGACAGGTACCTTTGGCCCTTGTCTCTTTGGGATGAGTTTTTAGTCTACCATTCAGAGCAGTGCTCCCCAAACTTTACTGTTAGTATAAATCATTGAAGGGCGGGGTGGGGGTGGTAGTTAAAATGCAAAATTCTAATTCAGCATGTCTTGGTTGGTGTCTGATATTTTGCCTTTCTAACAAGTTCTCAGGTACTACTGCTATTGCTGATTTGCAGACTATAATTTGAATAGTAGTGATTTAGAGGTTAATGCTAATATGAGTGAAACAGTTCATTCTAGTAACCAGATTGCTTTTTTTTTTTTTTTTAAAAAAAAAGGGATTTGAAACTTACTTGTTAAGATCAACTTGTATAAGTCGTTTATGAAAATCTGAAGCAGCCTCTGAGAAGTTTTTCACAGCAGAAAATAAGGAGTCTTTTTTAAAAATAGAAAAGAAGAAGAGAAATTAGCTCATATTTCAGAGGTTCGCTTTCCCACCCTCCCCATTCCAGATTGATATGACCACATAGATGTCGAAGCCATTTTTCTACTGAGTCTTCTTGCAGATCCATGAAAATTAGTAGAAAATATAACAAAGTAATATTGTTTGAAAACAAAAAATGGTAACATTGTTTCTTAAAGGAAATGACTTTCAAAAATCTAGGACACAAATAATTCCTTAACCCATAGTTTACCAGAAACCCAGAATTCATTTTTTTATTAATTCATTCATTCATTGGGACAACAACTGTATGCTAGACACTGGATACAGCTATGCATAGGATATGATTCTGTAATTATTACAGGGCAAAAAAAAATACCAATTCTTGTTTTCAAATAGTGCATTTAAGATCTTGTTCAACAGGCAACCTGTGACAAACTGATATAACCAGATACTGAGAAAGAGGATCAGATTTGATCTGGTCAAACTCTTCTTTAATTCACAATGCTTCTGAGGAAAGTGATTAGGTTCTCAGTACAGTCATACCTCAGTATCAGTGAGGCCTGGGTACCAGAATCCCCTGCAGATAACCATATTCCATGGAAGCAACTCCCTTATATAAAATGGCATAGTATTTGCCTGTTACCTACACACATCCTCCCCTATACTTTAAGTCATCTCTAGATTACTTATAATGCCTAATACAATGCCTATATATAACTTCATGTGGATTCAATGTAGTGCTCAGAGCACAACAAATTCAAATTCAAGTTTTGCTTTTTTGAAACTTAATGGGTTTTTTTTTCTGAATATTTTTGGCTTGCAGTTGGTTGAATACATGGATGCAGAACTCACCAATATAGAGAGGTGACTATATTATATTTTTATTACAACAATTTATTATTTTCCATATTTTCTACACAGGACTTTAAACATACATTATTGATTTGTTGCTTGCATCAATCCTGTGGTGCAAGCAAATCAGGAGATACGATATTCATTTTATAGATAAAGCACTTACAGCTCAGGATTTCTATTAGGTCACACCTAATGGAAAGAATTTCTATTTCTATTACCTAATTTCTATTAGGTCTGACCTAATAGAAATCCTGAGCTCTAAATGCTTTAGCTAGTAAGTGGTACATTCAGTATAAGTATATTCAGTATTTTTAAAAACCTTCTTAGTCCCAGATTTTAGTCCTAGATTTTAGTCCTAGTCTTTTAGTCCTAGATTTTCCTTAACTTTTAATTGTTGTTTTAAGCCAAGTTCAAACCAAAGAATGTAATAAGAGATAGAATAGAAACTATGAGGAAAGAATGCTGAAAACAGAATTTTAAATTTCAAATGCAGGACAGAAGTCAAGATAGATAACTGAAACGTGTCCTGGGATTTAGTAACACATGTCAATGACGACTTTTGCAAGAGCAGTTTTACTAGAGTAGAAAGGACATAAGACAGCACAGTGGATTGGCTAGTGAGAGGTAAAAAACTATAGACAGGGAGTGTAGATTATGTATTCATTCATTCATTCATTCATTCATTCATCAATTATACCTTCATTCCTACACTAACACATTTTCTCAGGAACTGTTTCTGCCTGGCACTAAATGAAGAATTTTGATTGTGAAGAAAGTGGGACACATCAGGCAGAAGAAATGTTTTTGAAATAGAAAAGCTATAAGAATAATTAATCTAATGGATAGTCACCAATAGTAATGGTGATTTTTGAAAGTATGACAGGGAAAGGAATTAACAGATCAAACCAGGCCTCTAAGAAGGTAAGTAGGTAGAAGAATTAACCTTGTCTAAAGAGAGCCCTTCCACTCTAACTGTGTGGTTTCTGTCTCTTAATTGGACCCTGACTTATAAAAACTGATAAAAGATCATTCACCAAAAGGAAATCAGGGAATTTAGGAAGACAACTGGATGCTGAATAGCCACAGAACTACCAATGTCCATTTTGCTGTAGGCTCTGCTTATTTCTCTGGTTTTATCTCTCCTTATTTCCCCCATCACTGCAGAGATACTCCAATTGTATTGATATAAACACATTTTATTTGCTTCATTTTTTTTCTAGACCATAGTATTTGCTATTATTACTAATCCTGTATATAATATTATATAAAGATTACTAATCCTTTATATAATAATATTCAGAAGTCATTACTATTCCATACCCATTTTCTGTGTTTTTATAGTACTCTCTACATAGCCCCATAGTAACCTATTATCTGTATATTGCTTTATTCCCCACATGAGACTTTAAGCTTTCTTAGGACTATGACCATGCCTTGTACACATTTATATCTCCCAGGTAATAACATAGTACTTGGTACACAGTAGAAACTCAGGGCATATTTGATAATTTGGGTATATACTAAAAATAGGTGCCCCCAGAATAATAAAAGACAATGTTTGTAATAAAACAGTAATAGGTAATATTTAATGAGCACTAAGTGCTACCCACCACAGCTTCTATATATTACCAAACTGAATCTCCACAATGATCTTTGAAACATGATATGTTCTTTTTTATCTTTTAATTGTATGAAAGCTAACACATAGAGAAGTTAAGTAACTTTCCCAAGGTCACATAACGAAGAACTGGTAAAGCTAGTATCTGAACCAGGCAAACCACTTCCAAACTCAATCCTCAATGCTACTACATACACTGCATTATGAGTCATCCTTGCTGTATAGGAGATGCACAATGCAGAAGAGCAACCACTAAACAGTCATTAATAAAAGGAAAGTATACTTATAACCATGGAAAAAATGTTTCATATAGACAAACACTAAAAGATATATGCAGTAATAATCATTTTGTTGACAATAATTAAAAATACGTATGTAATAGTATTTGTGGCTTTCTCAATCTTTTGCAAATAATGTTACATTTTTCTAATATTGTTTCTATAACAGTAAATTTTTTTTTTTTTTTGAGAAGGAGCCTTGCTCTGTCGCCCAGGCTGGAGTGCAGTGGCGCGATCTCAGCTCACTGCAAGCTCTGCCTCCCAGGTTCACGCCATTCTCCTGCCTCAGCCTCCCGAGTAGCTGAGACTACAGGCGCCCACCACCATGCCCAGCTAGTTTTTTGTATTTTCAGTAGAGACGCGGTTTCACCATAATAGCCAGAATGGTCTCGATCTCCTGACCTCATCATCTGCCCGCCTCAGCCTCCCAAAGTGCTGGGATTACAGGCGTGAGCCACCGCACCCAGCCAGTAAAAATGTTTTTAAAGGCCATAATACAAGAAAAATGTTTACCATCCCAATGTTTGTGGTAATAACTCAGCCATAATGGATTCATTCTATACATGCCAGATTAAATCAGATTCTTTAATAGGTGTTTGTTTTAAGTTTTTGTGTAGAAGTCAAAATAAGTAAGGCAAATATGTATTCTAGGATGAAACAATATGCATTGATCATCATAGGAGATAATATCTTAAAGCTCTAACTTAAAGACTGTAAAATATCTGCCCAACTATTTCTTACCAAATGATACTCCATGGTCTGTCAATTGTTGATCATGTTTCTTAGATAGATTATAGATACTTGCTGCATAGTTTTTCAAAGCTTCTGCATAGTCTTGAATATTAAAAGGAATGATTTTAGAATCCACAAGCTCATATACCAGTGCTCCTCGTAATTGAGCCACAGAAAGTTGTTTTTTAAATGTGGGGTCATAAAATTTCTCTACCAATTCAAATGTCTCATAAATTGTGTGGTACACTGGGTAGCTGCTGTACTTATCTGTTTTCTGAAAAAAAAATGGAGAGGCAAGTATAAATAAACATTAAATATTCAAGTTATAATATTTTTATGTAAGCATAAAAATAACTATAGAAAAAATAACAACCAGCCAGTCATGGTGGCTCACATCTGTAATCCTAGCACTTTGGGAAGCCAAGGCAGGTGGATTGCCTGAGCTCAGGAGTTCAAGACCAGCCTGGGCAACATGGAGAAACCCTGTCTCTACTAAAAATACAAAAAAAAAAAAAAAAAAAAAAAAAAAAAAAAAAAAAACAAGAAAAAGAAAAAATACAACCATATAACACCCTGAGTTTTACCACAAGGAGGCAAAACGCTAATAACGAAAACACTATAGCCAAATATTCACTGGTTTTAAAAATTTTCTCATTATTTGTTTTATAATTTATGTAACCTTCATTCAAGATGCTACACCTTGAACATTTTCTCCTTGTATCTTCGATAACTAAAATTAGGGAATACATATTCAAATTGCACCTCAGCATAGTTCAAAGTTATCTATCAATTGATTGGTAAAAAAAAAAAAAAGGTTCTGGGCAGCTAAGTACACAGCTTAAGGATGATTTATTTAAGTAACTTCCCTTCCTTCTCAAACAGTGTATATCTAAATGTCATTTAAGCTTTATTACATAATTAAGGTACCATTATGAATATGAATTATTACATAGTAGTATCCCGTATAAATATTCTTTTTAGTTCTTCGGTCTGCCTTTTCTAATTTTAGTTTTTATTATTTGCCACCTTGTATGGCTATCGTTCTTACTGCTGTTAGTATCACTAAAAAGCAATCTCCTTATCAGTCCTTCTCCTTCTATCTAATTATCTGCTTCTAATCTAAAGTGGTCTTAGAAACTAGATAACTTTGAGCAAATTACAGAAGACAGAGTATAAAAGTGAACAGGCCTTGACAAAGAGTTAAAACACATCATTTATGTATTAATTGTAATGAATGTAAGCATTCTGAGTTTATCTATTTTGGGTTACTCTGGGGTTGCTTTTATTTCTTTGTTCTTTGTTGTATTCTGAACAGTCAAATTTGCAAGTGATATACATATAATGGGCAAGCAAGATTTAGATGTACTGTAATTATGATTTGAAGATTGATTAAAATCTATGACAAATCTGTGTCTGCTACTGTAATCTTCAATTTGGTTTATGAAATAATTTATAACATTGATGAGCAAACATGGTATATATTGGTTATATCCAAGTACCTGCATATCATCAGGATGTCTGTGTGACAGTAGTGCAAACCAGTCAGTGCAGAACAGAAAAGGGGATCAAGTTAAAAGAGAAACTTGCTTTATTTCCCAACCAAGAACCCTTGACTCAGGTGACAGGCAGAAGTGGCAATATGAAGAGGAGCTACCGACAATAATGAATCTTACCCTAATGCTCCTCTTGACCAAAATATGTTCTCCAACTGCATTTATCCTCATGAAAAGTACATCAGAGCCTGCAAGACTAGTCTAGAGAATGAGAGTTTTCTGACAAATCAGGAAAAGGATGTGAACTACTTAGTACTGATTAACCAGATAAGTGTCTGGCATTACTCTGTGAATCACCATTTATTTGATTAACCCTAACAATGAAATTTTCACAAAATTACTCAAATTGCTTCCTTGTCCATCTGGAAAGGGACATGCAGTCTATCTCTATCCCTGGGAACTCTTCCCAGGCCACATCCACCAGGTGTCTGGTGCCAAACAACTCAGTGACATTCTTCGCCAAAGGACTGTAGATGAAATGTTATATATTCAAAATGATAAAATGGCTTACCTTATTCTTAGTGTAACGGGCTCTGCCTGAAGCAATTCCAAGTCTCTGAAAATAAGCTTCAAAGTCACTTCCAGATCCCAGCTTATTGATTCTAGATGTAGAATGCAATCCACACACACACACACACACACACATAAACAAGTAAATGATACAAAGTTAAATAGATGGGACAAGGAATCCTGCCCCAAGAATAGCAAGGAATTATATATTACATTTATAAGAATTTAAAAAAGGTCAACCACCATCAAGACATTTTCCCATAATCTGCAGGAAAATTGCTGTAAAATTAAAAGTAATGCTGAAAATTAAAAATAATGGCAAAAACTGCAAATACTTTTGCACCAACCTATAACAAGAATTGGGCTGTGCCACCAAAGACTGCATCTTGTGATGATGCTCTCCATCATATCTTCAGCATTTACATTTTTGTTTAGAGGGGAAAACAATGAAGACGTGGGCCCTACCCTCAGAGAACTATCATCTAGTAAGAAAACTGCCATAAAAAAATCTACTTTTAAAATCATGAAGAATATAAATGTGCCTCATTTTAGAAATAAATCTAATTATAATTTATTTCTTTGCATATGATTAGGAAACCTCTGTTGATCTATCACATATATATGCATATACATAAATAAAATGTAAGACATGAAAATTTTTAGTAAAATAATGGTAAGTCATGAAAGCAGAATATAAAATTGCATGTTCATTAATAACATAACTGTTTATTTCCAAACTATTAGGTTAGTAGATATGTTTTTGAGACTGACCTCTTCAATGTTTTAGAAATCATTTTTGTATTTTACTGTTTTTGTTGAATTGGCATGTGAAAGTTTTATAATGGACCCACATTCAAACTTTCACAAGACTGATTTGAAATGAGGAATAAAGCTATAAACTGTTACTATTATTTGCTTGTACAAGTTGAGTATCCCATATGAAATGCTTGGGACCAGAAATATTTTGGACTTCAGATTTTTTTCCAACTATGAATATTTACATATATGCAGTGAGATATCTTGGGGATGGGGCCCAAGTCTAAACATAAAATTCATTTATGTTTCATATGTATCTTATAAACATAGCCTAAACTTAATTTTACATAATATTTTAAATAATTTTGTGCATGAAACAAAGTTTGTGTTAAGTGCTATAAGGTGTGGAATTTTCCACTTGTGACATCATGTTGGTGCTCAAAAAGTTTTGGATATTGGAGCACTTCAGATTTCAGGTTTTTGAGTTAGGAATGCTCAGTCTGTATTAGAAATGGCACTACAGTAGAAAACAAATATATACTTTTTATTACATAATGTTTAGAAAAAAGAAAATAAAAACAAATAAATATAAAATAAATTTAAGAAAGCTGCTGTAGCATGAATGAGATGACATAAAAAATAAAATAATATTTATATAAATTCTAAATCACAGGTAAAGACACAATTTGGTGGTTACTGATAATGTTCCTTAATAAATTTACAAGCAAATAATCTAGCATTTGTCTTTTCATCATTATCATCTGAAGTTATATTATATATTAATACACCTAATACATATGTAAATGAAATTTTAAGCAAGAATGCCAACTAATGGCTAATAATGTAGCGAAACTATTTTGGCTAAAAATTTGCAAAACTAGATCTATTTGTGCTCTAACATAGACTGAAAGACTTCACATGCTGGCTAATCAGCAAAACAAAACTGGATAGAAGAATTCTTATTTTTTTTTTTTTTGAGATGGAGTTTCACTCTTGTTGCCCAGGTTGGAATGCAATGGCACGATCTCGGCTCACTGCAACCTCTGCCTCCCGGGTTCAAGCAATTCTCCTGCCTCAGCCTCCTGAGTAACTGGGATTACAAGTGCCCGCTACCATGACCGGCTAATTTTGTATTTTTAGTAGAGACAGGGTTTCGCCGTGTTGGCCAGGCTGGTCTCCAATGCCTGACCTCAGGTGATCCACCCGCCTCGGCCTCCCAAAGTGCTAGGATTATAGGCGTGAGCTACTGGGCTCGGCCAGGAATTCTTCATTATCTTTTCTTGGCTCAAATTATTGATGAGACGCTTGAGAATTTCATGCTTGGAGAAACAAGAGGCAGAGGGGAATTCATAACTTATCCTACAGTAGAAAAGGTGCATATCAGTAACTTACCTAGGCAAATTTTTATTTTCAGGTGAAGGGTCTTTTTCCAACCAGCTTTCATACAGTGATTTACTCTCAAACCCATCATCAGGGCTGGGGATCTGGAAAGAGAAATCAAATACTGGAAATTAGGGGTAGAAGCAACTACATTTATGCCAAAATAAAACTATATATTATTTGTCATCAACTTCTACTTTTAATAACATATGTACATGTATATATTTATACACATGTATATGTTTTATAGAAAAATTATATTTTTGCAAATGGCAAGAAATAAATCTAGCCCAAATTATTTTTTATTCATGATGTCTACCTGTGTTGGTAATTTTGCCATGTACCTAAGATGTAATTTCCTGCTTATTTTGGTAAACTTTTAAATAGAACTTAAAATCTTTACAAATGCCATTTTAATTAATGTTTGGCAGCTTAGATTTCTTTTAGTGGGAAGACACTGGAGAAAACTTCAGATAAAACATTTGCTTTTGTAAATTATTTTTGCCTAATAAGACCTATAAAGAGGTCTCAGAACAATAGAGGTGACATAATTTCAAGCTCAGCTTCTTAACCTATAAGTCTTGGTTTTGCAGGGCAGGCAGGGGTTAGCGCTGGGACTATTCTTTTAGACAGTCTTATTATGTTTAAACAAAGTTAAAATTTTATGGATTTTTTAAAAAACTCTACATAACCTCAGATTTCTACTTGGGAATTTTTAAGAGCTCGTGTGTGTGTGTGTGTATATATATACATTTTTACTCCTTTCATTAAAAATACATTTACAAACTTATACTTGCCTTGTCTTTTGACACTCTAAGAAGAGCAGAGACATGTGGTGAAAACATTGTGGACTGTGGAGTCAAATTGGTCTATTTTAAATCTAGACTACTACACATATTGACTATATTTTGTTTTCTTGTTTGTTTATAACACTGATTTGCTCAAAAATAGACCCAAGGCAGACCCTACTTAAGTAACTGTGAAAGCATTATAACTTGGTGTATTTGTTCCCCTCTTTGAACCTTAGTCTTCTCACCTGTAAAACTGGGGATAATGGTACCTTTCTGAATATAAACATCTGGTATTTTCTCTGGCCTTTAGACAGAGTTGGTTATTCTAACTTCTGTGCCACTATTCTTAATTTTTCTATAGATATTTACTAAGCACTGAACTCAGAAAAGAGATGCGGAAACAGAGACATAGTCTCTACCCTCTTGGACCTCACAATGAAATCTAATTGGGGATACACACACCAAACAAATTTTGTAATACAAAATTATAATAAGCAGTTTAAAAGAAAATATCAAAGTGCTATAAAGAGATGTGGGGATGAGAGATAGATATGTCTCCAAGTAAGGGCTTTCTGAGAAAATGGCAATTAAATTTAAGAGCATCTAATAAAGATGTTGGGTATTGGCACATGATTTTGAACAATTTCCCTGTTTCAATCTCACCCCACTTATTTAGAGGCACAAATGTGTTGTGTCTACTGATAACACAAGCCCTCATCAGCCTTCAAGTAGAAGGTAACAGTGGTGAATCCACTGCCATCCACAGAGTAATGGTAGGGCTGGGAAGTGGTCACTTGCCCTTAGCTTTGTATGAATGAGATGATATTTTATGACTGCATAGAGGGTCCACAGCTTAGAAAGTCTTGGCACTCTACACCCTTCCTCACCAACATGAGGCAGCTGCAGAGATGTTCTGCTCATTTCTAGCCAGCTGACTGGGTTCTACTCTCTACTCTGCTCCTGCCAATTTACAATGGTTGAGAGAGATTCTGTTCCAGTTCCTACATCCTGCTTGGATTGAACTCCCAGTAAAACCCTCTTCATTTTCTGAATCATACTGTCTCCATAATAGTGCCAATCAGAAATCACGTCCCGTTGGCCTAGAAAATCCAGATCAGCTTTCTTTCTTTCTTTTTTCTTTTCTTTCTTTTTTTGTCAGGATTTCTATGGCTTACACTCCTGGGCTCAGGTGATCCTACTGCCTCAGCTGGAACTATAGGCATGTGCCACCACACTCGGCTAGATGAGTCTTACCTCAGCTACATGCATTGTCAGAATTGATAGCCCTCCTCTTATTTAGCAACACTTTGCCCCATTTCTTGCTGCATCTGGCAGCTGCCCTTCTCTCCAAGCTCAGCCTTGTCTCTCACCCCTACACTATCCTCAAGTCACCAATATGGCTTGACTATTTGTGCTAACACACACTAGGGATTAATAAAATTGTAATAATCAGTTTACAGGAGAGTAAAAACAAGTCTCCTTTGTCTACTGGGTCTTGGCATGCCCACAGATAAGAATTTATCTTTGTACAAAGAGGCACAGATGTCAACTTCTCCCTTATCAACCACCAAATTCTTATCATTCCTGACATCAAGGCCAGGGATCATCTCTCTAGGACAGCACAAATCATAAATTCCTGTTCCAAAAAGGGTTCTCTCAGTAAAGATTTTCTTTTCAGCTTACTTTTAGATAAGATGCTTTTATGGAACATTCCAATGAAAGGATCAAAGACATCAGCTACCCAAGATGGTGAGAGCATTGTGATGAGGAAAATGAGAGGAGTTTCATTTGGAAAACTAGTTTTTAAAGACATGAAAAAGAGAGGGGTAAGATTAAGGGAGGAAATATTAATAGTACCCAGAGAGAAGTGATATCTACTTCATATTGTTATCTAAGGATGACCTTGAAGCAAACATTTCCACAGGTAAATTCTTTGGCAAGGAACTATTTAAATGATGTTCACAGATATTAAATGAGTAGATTATATAAGTTTTAGAGATTCAGAGTCCTTTAGATTTTAGAGTTCTTAAAATATCTATAACTCATTTAATATTTATAAATTACTGGGAGATTAGCAAGCCTGCAGAATTATTTCCATTTTGCCTTTAGACTTGCAACTACTTAATGTATTCACTACACTGACATAAAACAATGAACAACCTTGTTAGAAATTCTTTAATGATTTCTCCATAACAGATTTCTGAACTCCTTGGCCCATTGGTTATGCCTCATTTCTTACCATCTTTCCCACCAACGCCTTTGGCTTGGCCATGCTGAGCTACCTTCAGATCAGGAAATACGTTCTTTTAAACCTCCACATCTTTTTTAGATACTGTGTCCTCTGCTTAGAATGCCCTCTCCCTTACTTCTACATCCCTTCATTTGACAGTCCAAACATCAGTGACTCTGCAAACCTCTTCTTATGCTCCTCAACTTCCCCCAGCCACCTCAGGATTTAATATTCTCTATTCCATAACTGTTCTCCATCATACATAGTATCAAATATTCTAGTGAATTCTAATTCCTCATTTACCAATCTGTGTCCTCTCTAGATTACAAAGTCTTCGAATTCAGTGACCTTGTCCCCTTATCACTATTGCTGCTATAATTCATTTTGTAGAATCTGACATATAGTGACCACTCAGTGAATATTTGTTGAATGAATGAATGAGTAGCTAAGACAGTTTTTTAACTGTATGCCTTTCTATTCCAACTCAGTGTTCTTTCTGCTATATCAAATACCTCTGCCAGATAAATACATGTTACAACTATTTACACAATTATTAATAAGAACTATTGCTAGAACAAAGAAGCTGGTGATAATATCTTCTTAGTTATGTCATATAGGTAAATGGCATATTAAAGATTTTGTTTTGTTTATATGATTCTATTATGTTCTCTCACCAGCTTAAAAATAAGTACCATTAATTTAGGGGGGAACACACGTTATTCATTTATCCATTCAAAAGAGAACATATGAAGACACATTTCCTTATATACCTCTTTTGTCAGTTTATACACTAATTGGTAAAGAAGGGGAGTACAGTCAACTCTGAGAGTATAATTGCCTGAAAAATAAATAAGACACAGAGTATTATTTCATACTTCTAAATGAAATTCCATTTGTTTAATTCTAACTTTATTTTCTAATTTTAAACAAGATATAATGATCTTCAAATCAAAGATTTTATTCCCAAAGAATAAAACAGGGTGGAAATAGTTCTTCAGGAGCAAGAGAGCCTGCACCAAATATTCTGAATAGTAGAAGGTCTTGGTGGACTTTGGTTGCTAAGGCAGCAGCTGTCACAGTGATTATAAGGGTCATTCTCATGGCAGCAATTCTTAGGGGCACTTTGGCAAAGGAAGTGGTAAGTCTGTAGCATTAATTTTTTACTTGTTTCATTCTATGCAATAGTATATATCAAGATATTAGACAAAGCCATGTCAGTAATTATTAGGTTCTAACATTTATTTAGAAATAATCACAATGCAATGAAAGCCTAGAGACACGAATCTCTTCATTTTCTGAATCATACTGTCTCCATAGTAGTGCTAATCAGAAATCAAGTCCTGTTGGCGTAGACAATCCAGATCAGTTTTTTTCTTTTTCTTTTTCTTTTTTTTTTTTTGAGAGTCAGGGTCTCTCTATGGCTTACACTCCTGGGCTCAGGTGATCCTGAGCTAGATTCAATAGGAGTTTGTAGTTCAAAAGGAGTGAGTAAGTGAGTACACTTACTTCAAATTTGTTACAACAAATACAGGAAATATTTCTACACAGAATAGTCTGCAAAACCTTTCTTCTGAACTGTTTTAGCCAAATTCCATTAATATCTTTATCGAGAAAATATGTGGTTAATACTAGAGTTTTAAGTAGTAATATAAACAAATAGTAAATATATCAAAGAAATTAAAAGCAATAGCTTAGTTATGAATCATATCAATTCATATGAATCCTAATTATTTTCTCTGTGGCAAAATGAAAAATAAAGGTATTACTGAGGCATCTCAAAGGAAGGGGATATCTGAGGTGCTTAATAAGCTAGAATTTATAGTCTTAGTAGATGGTATTCTACTCAATAATAAAAGTTACTTGAAGTAAAATTTCCTTTCTGAAAATTTCACTTCAAATTGAAATAAAATTTACCTTCTATAGATGAATCCGAGTTGATATAAGCAATGCTTCTCTCCTGGAGTATTTTGACATTCTCCTGTAGTTGAAGCAAAGTTGTTACTTAATTCACATTACTTAGTTGTGAAAATGTAAACAAAATAAGCAAATTAATTTCGTGGAAAAGCGGTTTACAAGTATCTTTCACAATTAAATAGCTAGGTCCATCTGTGACCCTAATTTCTGAGAAAATGCAGAAAACCAGTTTGTTAACAACAATTACGCAATTAATATAAGAATTAAGGATACTATGAAGCAATAGCTACTGTTTATAGCAATAGCAGAGAGCCCTAAGAAAAAAAAATATTTTCAAAGTGTGGTTCCTTGATTCCCTGCATCAGACTATGCAGGGATGTGGCTCCCATATTCTAGGGCCCTGCCCTAGATCTACTGAATCAGAACTCACAGTGAGGCTAAAAGTGAGGCCTGGCAATCTGTATTTTATTATTTTATTTTATTTTAGAGACAGAGACTCACTCTGTTGCCCAGGCTAGAATGCAGCGGCACGATCTCAGCTCACTGCAACCACGGCCTCCCAGGTTCAAACAATTCTCTTGACTCAGCCTCCGGAGTACCCGGGATTACAGGTGTGTGCCACTGTGTCCAGAATTGGTGGGTTCTTGATCTCACTGACTTCAAGAATGAAGCCGCGGACCCTCGCGGTGAGTGTTACCGTTCTTAAAGGCGGCGTGTCCGGAGTTTATTCCTACTGATGTTCGGATGTGTTCAGAGTTTCTTCCTTCTGGTGGGTTTGTGGTCTCGCTGGCTCAGAAGTGAAGCTGCAGACCTTCACGGTGAGTGTTACTCTTAAGGCGGCCCATCTGGAGTTGTTCCTTCCTCCTGGTGGGTTCGTAGTCTCACTGGCTTCACGAGTAAAGTTGCAGACCTTCAAGGTGAGTGTTACAGCTCATAAAGGCAGTGTGGACCCAAGGAGTCAGCAGCAGCAATATTGCAAAGAGCAAAAGAACAAATCTTTCACAACGTGGAAGGAGACCCCAGAGGGTTGCCACTGCTGCTCCGGCAGCCTGCTTTTATTCTCTTATCTGACCCCACCCACATCCTGCTGACTGGTCCATTTTACAGAGAGCCGATTGGTCTGTTTTACAGAGAGCCGATTGCTCCGTTTTGACAGGGTGCTGATAGGTGCGTTTACAATCCCTGAGCTACACACAAAAGTTCTTTCCCCACGTCCCCACTAGATTAGCTAGATATAGAGTGTGGATTGGTGCATTCACAAACCCTGAGCTAGACACAGGGTGCTGATTGGTGTGTTTACAAACCTTGAGCTAGATACAGAGTGCTGATTGGTGTATTTACAATCCCTTAGCTAGACATAAAGATTCTCCAAGTCCCCACCAGACTCAGGAGCCCAGCTGGCTTCACTCAGTGGATCCCACACCGGGGCCACAGGTGGAGCTGCCTGCCAGTCCCACGATGTGCGCCGGCACTTCTCAGCCCTTGGTCAGTCGATGGGACTGGTCGCCGTGGAGCAGGAAGCGGTGCTCGTCGGGAGGCTCCGGCTGTGCAGCGGCCGCGGCGGGGGCGCAGGCTCAGGCATGGTGGGCTGCAGGTCGGAAGCCCTGCCCTGCGGGGAGGCAGCTAAGGCCCAGCGAGAAATCGAGCACAACAGCTGCTGGCCCAGGCGCTAAGCCCCTTACTGCCCCGGGCTTGCAGGCTGGCCGGCGCCTCCGAGGGCGGGCCCGCTGAGCCCACGCCCACCCGGAACTCTCGCTGGGCCGCAAGCGCCCGCGCAGCCCCGGTTCCCGCCCGCTCCTTCCCTCCACAGCTCCCAGCAAGCTGAGGGAGCCGGCTCCAGCCTTGGCCAGCCCAGAAAGGGGCTCCCACAGTGCAGCGGCGGGCTGAAGGGCTCCTCAAGCGTGGCCAGAGTGGGCGCCAAGGCCGAGGAGGCGCCGAGAGCGAGCGAGGGCTGCCAGCATGCTGTCACCTCTCACCACGACGCCTGGCTAATTTTTGTATTTTTAATAGACACGGGGTTTCACCATGTTGGCCAGGCTGTTCTCGAACTCCTGACCTCAGGTGATCCACCTGTCTCAGCCTCCCAAAGTGCTGAGATTACAGGCATGAGCCACCGTGCCGGGTGGAAATCTGCATTTTCTTTTTTTTTTTTTTTTTGGAGACAGAATCTTGCTCTTTTGCCCAGGCCAGAGTGCAGTAGCGCTGTCTCTGCTCACTGCAAGCTCCACCTCCCGGGTTCACGCCATTCTCCTGCCTCAGCCTCCCGAGTAGCTGGGACTACAGGCACCCACCACTGCGCCTGGCTTATTTTTTGTATTTTTAGTAGAGGTGGGGTTTCACCATGTTAGCCAGAATGGTCTCGATCTCCTGACCTCGTGATCCGCCCGCCTTGGCCTCCCAAAGTGCTGGGATAACAGGCGTGAGCCACCGCGCCCAGCCAATCTGTATTTCCTAATAGATATAACTGGCAATTGACACTTACATACATTGAAGTTTGACATCCATTTATGGAGGGGATACCCAAGTAAATTTATCATTTCAAAAGTGAGAAATATAAAATTTCCATTTGTTTATATTTACTATGTATATGAAGTGAAAGAAAAAAGGAAGACAAAAAATTAGAGGAGGCACACATTAAGACAAAAATAAGACTCTTTCGCTCTCTCTCTCTCATACACATACACAAACACACACACACAGACACAGATTAAAGAAAAAGTAAAGCAAAACTAACACACAGACAGAGAGGAACATGCTGAGAGAGCCCTTCACCGCTCTCTCTAGCTTGTTAGCTTTCTAAAATATGTTATAGTAAAAACATTTAAAGCTGTGTGTGGTTATGGCACAAATAAAAACTGTCACCTCTTTGCACTTGCCTGCATAGGCCAGGTGATAGTTGACTCCATTACAGAGAAATATAAAATCAGAGTTTCCATTATAACAGATTTATAGTGAAAATAAAGAAGATTCCTTATGTGTATTTAAAGAAGGTAAGCATGCTACTGAATATAATCAAGAACCTGGCACAAAACTGGAAAGTGTATTGAAATTGCCTTTTAATGCACATGTTTATAAATTAATGCAAAGCGTTTTTATTATTTTATATATTAGATTTCTTTATGTTCAGCTGCTGAAATTTAAAAAACAGATGCATGTGTTTATATGTGTTTATATATGTATCACAAGAAATCACATGTTTCTAAATCGCATGTTTCTAAAAGCAAATGACCTCACCCACCACAGGGGCAAGGGGAAAAAAGATAATGACCTGAACTAATAAAATTTGATTCATCAAATTAATGTTATAGTTTCAAAATGCCCATTAATAATACCAATGTGAAAATAACAATTCGCAGTGTAAATGTAATCAACAAAGGGTGATACCAGACAAGTAATTGTGAGTGGGATTTTTACCCCCTCTGTATTTGTTTAATTCATATTATTCCTATTATAGTATTTTAAACTAATGTAAGAGAAACTGAGTTAGGAGGAAAGCATTTTCAAAACTAAACACAATGGCAAGACAGGTTTGCCATATTTTAAAACAGCTCTATAAAATCTGGACTTATAAATGATAACTAGCAGATGGAGGAGGGAAGGTAAGTACTTATGTAGTGCACCTACCTGGAAATACTACTGGACCCAGCAATCCCATTACTGGGTATATAACCAAAGAAATATATCATTCTATTATAAAGACACATACACACATATGTTCATTGCAGCATTATTCATAATAGCAAAGACATGAATTCAACCCAGATATCCATCAATGACAGACTTGATGAAGAAAATGTGGTACATGTACACCTTGGAATACTACACAGTCGTAAAAAATGATGAGACTATGTTGTTTGCAGGGACATGGATGGAGATGAAGACCATTATTCTTGGCAAGCTAATGTTGAAACAGAAAAATAAATACCACATGTTCTCACTTATAAGTGGGAGTTAAATGATGAGAACCCATGGACACATAGAGGGGAACAACACACTGGGGACTTTCAAAGGGTGGAAGGTGGGAGAAGGGAAAGGGTCAGGAAAAATAACTAGTGGGTACTGGGCTTAATACCTGGGTGATGAAATAATCTTTCACTAGTAATACCACAATATTAGTTTCATAGAGTCTCAAAAATTACTACATTTGAGTTATAGGTTTAACATTTCAAACCAGGTTTTTCAAAATTCTCTCTTCACCTAGTTTTTAAAATAGTTTTTCAAATAACTTTCAAAATGATATACATGTGAAAAACCAGGTGAAGTTAAGGGAGGGGTAAAGATGAAGAGAGAAGGGAGCCAACATTTATTGATCACTTACTGTGTGGATTAAATGAGTTAAAATGGGTAAATCACATAGCTACTGTAAAGCTCAATAGAAATATTATTACAATTATTATTATTAATACATGATAACACTCTTCTAGAAAAGATGTGATCACAAATTGTGTGTTTATTGAGCTTACTCTTACAGAAAGAGTAAAAGTTTACCACTGCGTCAAGGCAGGCAGGAAATGCCAACTAGAGAAATCAGCTTGTACAGAGTAGTTGAACAGCGTGGCAAATCCCCATGACACAGTTTACCTATGTAACATACCTGCACTTGTACCCTGAACTTAAAAGTTAAAAAAATGAATGTGCTTACCTTCTACATTTAAGAACTTAGAGATTACTTGACAGAGAGACTAAAGGAAGAAGTTGGAAGAAAAGGGCCCTAGGAGAGACACTTAAATATAAATAATTAAGAGTCAGTGACAAATGACAATCATATGTGAAGAAAAAAAACCCCACCTATGAAATTGTAAAGCAGGTCAATTTATTAAAGTAATTCAATTCACAGAATTATCACTTTATACTTAACAATGAAGCACATATCTGTTGTAAATGCTAAAGTATACTTATGGTTGCCATTTTAAATGGAATCTGTCAATGTGAAAATATAGTCAATATATGGCCATCTTAATAGAACATCTTATATTTTCTCAGATGGAAGAACTCTAAAGAAACTTCAAAAACTTGAAAATTAGCTCTAAGCATCTGTATCAGTTTTTAGATAAGTAAATTATCATCAAAAATATCTCATTAATTTTGATTATTTTCTGAGCTTACTGATTTTTCTTATTTTTTATAAAACAAATGCAAATGGCAACGAAAATATTTTGACAAGAGGCAATAACTCTGTCTGCAGTCTAGTACTAAAAGGTTATTGCCAAACTGATGTGAAAGTAAAAATAAACTATTTCTTAAATTGTCTTGAGTCATTCTCCAAAACAAAACCATATTAGGTAATGGAATATATTTTTGATCATCCTGAGACACATACATATTTGTTCCCTGTTGACCAAAAAAATAATAAGAACCTTCTTTGTCTTATTTACCTCAGCCCATTCTGTGGAACCCAGAAGTCCAAATTCTTCTGCATCCCAGCTGGCAAAAATGATAGTTCTTCTAGGTCTCCAGCCTGTAAGAATTGTTAACACACGTGGTTAGGTACAACTGCCTAAAAAATAAAAGAAAATTCAGTAAGTCACTTTTTGTCATCACCTAGGAAAGAAAGGTTGTTTACCTTTACTCATCAGTTTTCCAAAACTCCGGGCAATTTCTTGCAAAACAGCAACCCCACTGGTTGGGTCAATAGCTCCAAATACCCAGGAGTCCCGGTGACCTCCCAGAATAACATACCTGTCTGGAAAATAATACGTTCAAGAAACCTACAACTTTGAATACATTATAAATATTTGTAATTTATGTTTTTAAAATAAACATCCTCTTGCTTGAGTTTCCTCTATAGAAGACAACACTATAAAGTAAAATCTTCTTTTAGATTTGTACAGTTTTCCTCAAAATTTAGTAGTTTCAAATCAGCCAAAAAACCCCACTTCAATTGTTGACTACAATTTATCTTTACTTACCCTTTAATTTTTGTAAAAACAAAATGTTTTAAAAAATTATGTGACTCACCAGGTTCCACAGATCCTCTGATAGTTCCAACTACATTGTAAATCCTTGTAATTTTATTGATGTTATAAACATGCATTCTAACCTTCCTAGAATTTTAAAAGGAATAAATTACTTAGTACAGCAAATTATGTTTTTTACAGTGTTTTATTATAAAAAACTATTTTCATAATAGTGTTTTATTATGAAAAGCTGTGCAATAGCATAATGGATTCTCATATCTCTACCACCTAAATTCAATAATTGTTAACACTGTTGAAGCATTTGCAAGTAAGGTACAGACATTATGCCAATTTACTTCTAAGCACCTAAGCATGCACCTTGAAGTCAAATTTTAAAAGCTGTCTATTTTATATTATTTTCTCATAGCTAAATTGTTATTTATTTAAAATTCAAAATATTCTATTATTCAAAATGTCATATTTATTCTAAAATGTAAAAATATACCCCAGTTAATTATGAAAACGAAGAAGACAGCCCATTATGTAATAAAGAAAAAAGTATAAGCATATTATTTAAATGTATCTATTTATATTTATATTAAATCCGAGGTTCAAAAATTTTCTTTATGATTATGGAAATGATATGTAAGTTTAAGAGCTGGTTGAGTGCCACCTATAAAAAACATAAAAAATTCTGTTGTTAAATGAGAATTTGGGAAGCTCCTGCTACAATGCACAACTACATAATGAAATGTTTCTAGGCCATGATTGTTGATTCTGATTTGGGTCAGGCTTTTAAATATTCATTCATGAGTTACAATCAACCGAATTAGAAAACAAGGGAAAATATCAAGCTCAGCCAGACAGAAAAAACAAAGTATCACTCACATTTTATGAATCCAAGATGACATGGGAAAATGCTACTTTTCCCCAAGGGAACAAAATTAATCATCATTTATTCTAAAGGTAGGGAGACCTCCGTTGTTTCTAGTTTGTGATCGTTTTTTAATGGAAGAATGAATAAGCCCCCGAAACTTGTATATTGTTAAGAACAAATTCTGGCTTCCCTCACCCCCACCAAAAGTATACTGTGCTTCTGATATTTAATCCATTTGCAATATTCAACTAAAAGTACCTCAGAGGAAAACTAATCGATGTTTTTTTTTTTTTCATTTTAAGGCATTAAGTAAATGATTTCTTTTTGCTACTGACAGATGAAAATTAATAGCAGAAAAGCAGAAATATTGTTTAGCATGTGTTTCTAAAAATATGAGCCTTAGATATATGATTAGTAAGAAACCCAAATTCATCGGTATTGTGTCATTAAAAGAAGAAAATTAAGTAAAGAAAAATGCAACATATGAGGAATGAAAAAAATTGATATTAGTCTAAACAAAAACATAGGCTATCTGCTAAGATTCTCAAAGAAGCACATCTACGTCTTTAAACCTACGTCTTTCTCGTTTTTAGTATTTTTGAGCTCCAGAAGAATATTTATTTGTCCTATTATTACTTCAAACTTATCACGTTTCAAATAAACTGAACTCTAGAATGCAGGCTCCACAGGGAGGAGATTTTTGCCTACTTTATTCACTGCTGAATCCCCAGAACCCAGAATGGTTCCCGGGGCATAGGAAATGCTCAATAAATATTCATGAAATAAATGAATATAATCCTGTAAGGAAAAATTGGGAAAAACTTTGGTTCATCCATTATGGTCAACTTTACCTGTCAGTGTCCTTAACTAGACTGTTTTACAGCTCTGTAAAGAGAAGTTAACTTATAGAAACATGACAGTAATGCAAATAATTCAAATCCACTGAAATGCACAATCTGTCTAGTGAAGGTTTGTGTTCCTTTCCTCACTGTGGAAGACTTTTGGAGGCTCCACTCTGAGGTAAAATGGATTCATTTTGCAGAACCAGGTATGGGCAGCTTAAACCAATTCTTCATATCTTCTTTTGGCTCTCATATGTAAATTCTAAACAACAGTAGAAATTTAACTTTGCTGATACTCTATATCTCTAGCTTTATTTTTTCTCTACTGATGTTTTGTTTTATGTTTCTGCTTTGCTTAGGGCAAATTAAGTTAGTCCTCATTGGTGGCAGCAATGATTTGGAGTTGGCCTTTATGTCTTGTCATTTGATAATATCTGTAAATGGATTAATGGATTTTCAAGATCTCTGTGAGGTGAGACATGAGAGAATCTAGTTTTTAGTTTTGTTGTTGTTTATTTGTCCACTTTGAGTTCTAACCAATAGAGAATTCTATGCTCACAGTGAAGGAGCACAGCTATTTTATATCTAGACCTAGGAATGTTTATGTTTTTGAGTTTACTCTTTGTGACTAAAATTGTAGAACTGAAGTTATATGTTTTCTCTGTCTGTATGTTTCTGTTTGTAAATCAGAAAGGGCTTTATGTTTCATTGAGTAAGTTACATTTTCCTTTCTCTGGAGGGCATACACAAATTAGATAATAAAGTCCCAAATTAAAAGAGCACTGTTCTGATTTAATGATAGAGATAAACACATATAAATCAAACATTTATAAACTTATTATAAAACAAGGAAATTGGACTTCTAATACTTTAAAATTTCTGGAATACAAGAAATCCTACAGAAACTAAAAAATATTCTGAGAATCCAAATTCACGTAGTTAAGGGTAAATTGTTAGCAAAGAAGACTGATTTAATAATTTTGGTTTAATAAAAACAGCTATATGCACTCTGATTTATCAGTGTTACATTTCTCTCTCCCATCACATTTCAGGCAAATCAAACTTCTTGAAGTTCTGATCATGCCACGCTGTTCAACTACTCTGTACAAGCTGATTTCTCTAGTTGGCATTTCTTGCCTCCCTTTACCCAGTGGTAAACTTTTACTCTTTCTGTAAGACTAAGCTCAATAAACACACAATTTGTGATCACATCTCTTCTAGAAGAGTATTATCATGTATTAATAACAGTAATAATTGTAATATTAATTCTATTGAGGCTTATAGTCTTATAGTAACTATGTGATTTACCCATTTAAACTCATTTAACCCACACAGTAAGTGATCTATACATTTTGGCCCCCTTCTCTCTTCATCTTTACCTCTCCCTTAACTTCACCTAGTTTTTTTTTTTTTTTTTTTTTTTAGATGGAGTTTCAGTCTTGTTGGCCAGGCTCAAGTGCAATGGCGCGATCTCAGCTCACCGCAACCTCCGCTTCCTGGGTTCAAGTGATTCTCCTGCCTCAGCCTCCCAAGTAGCTGGGATTACAGGCATGCACCACCATCACACCTGGCTAATTTTTGTATTTTTAGTAGAAACGGGGTTTCTCCTTGTTGGCCAGGCTGGTCTTGAACTCCCAACCTCAGGTGATCCGCCCGCCTCAGCCTCCCAAATGCTGGGATTCCAGGTGTGAGCCACCACACCCAGCACCTTCACCTAGTTTTTCACATGTATATCATTTTGTAAGTTATTTGAAAAACTATTTTTAAAAAATAGCTGAAGAGAGAATTTTGAAAAATCTTTGAAATGTTAAACCTATATTCAAATATATTAATTTTTGAGATTCTGTGAAACTAATATTGTGATGCTGCTAGTGAAATAATTCAATATTTCATGTGTAAGTACTTCTTAAGTAATGTAAAATGGTTGTTTAGAAAGAGAAAAAGAGATAAGCAAAATACCCCTGGCAGAACAGTTATCTTGACATGTTTCCATTAAAAATATAAAACTTTTTCAGACTATTAAAGTAATGCAAAATTACCTGAAAGAATCACTCCCTGTAAAGCCAGGTCCGATACTATAACTCACATTAAGGGCTCCCTTCCAACTCTTATCTGGTGGAGCAATTCCTCCCAAGTAGCTGACAAAATAAAATGAAAGTGACAGAAAAAGGCTACCACAATTTCTAAGGAGAAATTTTAAAGTTTGATGACAATATTTCATTCATATATATAACAAATATTTGTCATTTACTAAGTGCCAGGTACTGTCAAAAAGCCCGCCCTTTGTGGAGCTTATTTTCTAGCAAGAGAGCCATACTGAAATCAGTAAGTAAAATACGTAATATGTTAGTGATGAGAGCAAAGAGAAAAAATAAAGTAGTCATGGCAAATGGGAAGGCTATCTCCTTATTTTTGACCTTAATTATTTATGTGGGGACTCACTGAATCCAAGATATCCTAAATACAGGAAATTAATGACTGCATTAAGGAGAAGAAATGTATTTGTAAAAAAGCTGCTGATTACACAGTAGGCACCCAAACAATTATTAAGTTGTAATACACATACAGGCATTTAAAAATGGGAGTTGGGGGATATGTAAAGAAATATCAGTTATAGAATACAATAATTGTTTGTTTACTATATTCTAAATACGGTGCTATGTATTTTACTCATATGATCTTATAATAACCCTATCAAGGAGAAACAGTTACTAGCCTCATCTTACAAATAAAGAAACTGAGCTGGAGAAAGTTTAAGCAACTGATCCAAGGTCATACCTCTAGTAAGTGGGGGGCATTGTCATATTCTTATACTAGACGTTGAATATAAATATCTAATGAATACCTATGAAAATTCAATTGCTTGAAAAATCTCAAATCAGAATTATCTTAGGACATAGCTTTGTATTTGAGAATTTCATTTGTAGCGAACAGAGCGATATTTTATTTTGATTTCTTAGTCACTAAAATGACTACTTTTATGAAATAAAAAGATAGTATACTCTGTTATTCCTATTTCAGGAGTTATTTAGTTATAAAACTTTGTGTTTAACATAAGAATGCCATATTGGTTTTCAATGAGAAAATAGACAACTAGTGCAAAATATCTTAATCTCATATCCAACAAGAAAACTATACCGTAATAATATTTCTGCATCATTATATCCAATGGGATGTACAGGTATTCGGGGGATTCCCACTCCTTCTTCAACATCAAGTCTGAAAGTGTATTCTAAAAAAATCAAATGCATAAAATGAAAACAATTTAAAAATCTGAGCAAGAGATATACAGGGATTTTTTGCATAACCGTTGCAGATTTGCTATACATTTGCAATTATGCCAAAATTAAAAGTTCCTGGCCAGGCGTGGTGGCTCACACCTGTCATCCCAGCACTTTCGGAGGCAGAGGTGGGCGGATCATGAGGCCAAGAGATGGAGACCATCCTGGCCAACATGGTGAAACCCCGTCTCTACTGAAAATACAAAAATTAGCTGGACGTGGTGGCGCATGCCTGTAGGCCCAGCTACTTGGGAAGCTGAGGTGGGAGAATCGCTTGAACCCAGGAGGCAGAGGTTGCAGTGACCCGAGATCACGCCACTGCACTCTAGCCTGGAGACGGAGCAAGACTCTGTCTGAAAAAAAAAAAGTTCCCCAAAAGTCAGACAATTGTTTTACCTAATACATCTTTATTTAATAAATCATTTATATTTTAAGGTAATGTTAATTATAGAGATGGCAGTTTTCCAAATTTGTTTTGACATTTCACATAATTTTCTTGACCTTTACAAGAATATTTTATTTCCTCAAGGATCTCTTGAATCTTTCTTAGAGAAATGTTATTAACCAGATGCTTAGAAAATGTGTCCCAGATTCTGAAACTATAAATAATTGGAAAAAAAACAAGAGAACATATGCAATCTTGGGAAAAAATGAGAAACATCTTATTCAAATAGTGATATATTATCATTCAAGGAAGATTGAAAAGTATTGCCAGCCTTAAAACCTCATTGGAACTGTGACTTTCAGCCAAGATAGAGTTAAAGGGACCAAATTTACCTTCATGCCTGAAACACCTTATTTTTTATTCACCTTATTTTATGTAAATGAAACACTTTAAAAATAATAAAATATGTAAAATAATAGTTCTATCATGAGATTTTTATTATGTAAGTAGCTTCATGAGATAATTGACTGCTGAAACAAAATTGTAACAATATAATTAGATAGTAAATCAGTAAGTATATAAGACTTTCATAACACTATTAACTAATTTGACCTAATTGACATTTATAGAATACTCCAACCAAAAACAGAATATACATTCTTTTCAAGTGCATATAGAATATGTATTACAGAGACCATATTCTGGGCCATAAGACATGTCTCAGTAAATTCTCAGTATGTTCTCCGACCTCAGTGGAATTAAATTAGAAATCAATATTAGAAAGATACCTAGAACATCCTCAAATATTTTAAAATTAAATAACACATTTATAAATAAACCATGGGTCAAAGTAGAAATGAAAAGGGAAATCAGAAAGTATTTGGAACCAAATAAAAATAAAAACACTCAGCCTAGGCAACACAACAAGACCCATCTCTAAAAGTAAACATTAAAAAATTAGCTGGGCATGGTGTCACATGCCTATAGTTCCAGCTAACTTGGGAGGCTGGGGCAGGAGAATCACTTGAGCCTGGGAGTTTGCGGTTACAGTGAGCGATGGTTGGACCACTGCACTCCAGCCTGGGTGACAGACAGGGTGACAGAGTGGAATCTTGTCTCTAACATAAAATAAAACCACAATATATTAAAAACTGTAGGATGCAGCTAAAGTAGTGCTTATAGGGAGAGGTATAGCACTAAATAATCCATCGTAGAAAAAAAGTTAAGTTTCTGACAAATGACATCAGATTCCACTTTCAGAAACTAGAAAAAGAACAAATAAAGGCCAAAATAAGCAGGAGAAAGCACATGATAAATATCACAGCAGACATCTAAGAAATAGAAACTGGCTGGGTTCCTGATGGCTCATGTGTGTAATCCCAGCACTTTGGGAGGCCAAGGCAGGAAGATTGCTTGAGTCAAGGAGTTTGAGACTGGCCTGGGTAGCATAGCAAGAGCTGTCTCTATTTAAATTTAAAAAAAGAAATAGGAAACAAAAATAATAGTAAAGATAATCAATGAAACCCAAAGCTAGTTATCTGAGATCAATAAAACTAATAAACTTCCAACAAGACAGATCAGGACTAAAGGAGAAATGACTAAATTGCTAACATCAGGAATAAAGGAGAGAATATCACTCTAGTACCTGCAGACAGAAGAATAGTACAAAAATATTATAAACCACTCTATGCTCATAAATTCAGCAAGTTAGATGAAATGGACAAAAATCTTTGAGAAAATGCAAACTACCAAGGCTCACTTGAGAATAAATAGATCACATATACATTACATATATATTACATATTATATAATATATAATATATATTACATATACATTACATATTATATATAATATAATATATATAACATATATATTACATATATTACATATATATTATATATTATATATGTGTAATATGTATGTAATAATACATATTACATACATAATACATACATATGTAATAATACATACATATGTATGTATGTATTACATACATACAATAATAATACATACATATGTATGTATGTATTACATACATACAATAATAATACATACATATGTAATAATTATATATATATTAATATATATGTAATTTATATGTAATATATATTATTACATATATATTACATATATATTATATATTATATATTACACATTATATATCATATATAATATAGCATATATAATATGTAATTATATATAATTATATATAATATATTATATATAATATATACATGTATATGTAATATTACATATTACATATTATATATTATATATTACATGTATAATATGTAATATTACATTATATATATTATATATTACATGTATAATATGTAATATTACATATTATACATGTAATATATAATATATATAATTATACATTATATATTATATATAATATATACATTATATATACATATATGCATATATAATATATACATTCTATATACATATATTATACATGTATATAATATATACACACACATATACATATTATGTATATAATATATACACACATATATACATATTATGTATAGGTATATAATATATATACACACATATATACATATGTATACGTATATTATATATACACACATATATACATATGTATACGTATATAATATATATACACACATATATACATATGTATATGTATATAATATATACACACATATATACATATTATGTATATGTATATAATATATACACACATACATATTATGTATACGTATATAATATATACATATTATGTATACGTATATAATATATACATATGTATACGTATATAATATATACATATGTATACGTATATAATATATACATATATTATGTATACGTATATAATATATACATATTATGTATACGTATATACTATGTAACATTACATATTACATATATTACATATATATATATGAAATTCAATTTGTAGTGAAAAACAGTTCTACATAAAACACTTCAGGCCCAGATAGATCCCTGGAGAATTCTACCAAATATTTATAGACAACATTGAACCCATTCTTTATAAACTCTTGCAAAAAAGTGAAGATGAAATGGTTCCCAACTCATGCTAAGAGGCCAGCATTTCTTTGATACCAAATGACACAAAGATATTACAAGAAACTAAATCTACAGGTTAACATCCCTTATGACCATAGACAGAAACATTCTTAAGAAAAATATATCAAAAATTCAACAATATATAAAAGGATAATACATTGTCACCAAATGGGATTTATTTTAGGATGACAGGGTTGGATTAACATTAAAAACATCATATAATTTAACAAAAGTAAATGATAACATATGATCATCTCTATGTGCACAGAAAAAACATTTGGCAACATCCAACATATATTTCTAATGAAAACGCCCAGTATATTAGGATAGAAGTAAACTTCCTCATTGTGACAAAGGGAATGTATAAAAAACCTAGAGCTAACATAATATTTAACAGAGAAAGACTGGATACTTTCCCTGTTGGAACAGAAATAAAAAGCAAGTATGTCTGTTGTAACAACTTCTATTCAACATTGTACTGGAGTACCTCTATAAAATGTATATACAAAAAAGAAAGAAAAAAAATGTCCTGGAGGGTCTAGCCAGTACAATAAAGCAAAAAGAAGAAAGAGAGAAAGAAAGAAAGAGAGAGAGAGACAGAGAGAGAGAGAGAGAGAGAGAGGAAGGAAGGGCATGTAGATTGAAAGCCAAGAAATAAAATTATCTTCATTTGCAGATGACATAATCATGTATGTAAAAATGCTGATAGAAGCTACAAAAACCTAGCAGAATCGATGGGTTTAACAAGTTTGCAGGATACAAGACCAATGTATTTCTTCTAGAAATAGAATAATGCTTTCATTTCCTAGTAAAGAAAAATTGGTATTGAAACTTTACAATAGCATAAAACTATGAAATGTTTGTGGATAAATCTGACAAAAGGTATGTGTGATTCATACAGTGAAACTATAAAACTCTGCTGAAAGAAATTAAAGACTGCAAAGTTGTATTTTATTTATGGATCAGAAAATTCAATATTGTTAATTCAATTCTCCCAAATATTGCCAATTCTCCCCAAATTGATTTATAGATTTCATTCAATCTCAATCAAACTCCCAGGAGGCTTTTTGGTGGCAATTGTAAATTAGTGCTAAAACTCATATGGAAAGGACCAAAATTAGACAAAACGTTTTGAAAATAGAAGAGTTGTAACCTGGAAGTTGTATGCATCTGTTAGAATGTAGAATTGAAAAGACTGACATACTAAATGTTGGTGAGGACATAGCAAATAGAACACTCATACATTGCTGTTGAAATATAAAGTGAAACAACTTCAGAAAACAATTTTAAAATTTCTGTAAAAGTTAAATATCCAACTAACCATAATATTCAGGCATTTCACTTCCAAGTATTTCCCAAAGAGAAATAAAAGAACATGTACATACAAGGTCTTGTACAACAACTGTTCATTACACCTTTATCTGTAATAGCCCCCACACTGAAAGCAATCCAAATGTCCATCTACAAGTAAAGGAATAAACTGTGCTATAGCCATTCAAGGGAATACTACTCAGCAAAAGAAAGAAAAACTATTGACAAAGATGCCAACATGGACAGATCTCAAAATAATCATGCTGACAGCAGAAACCAAGATGAATGGTTGCCTAGGGATTGGATGAAGTGGGAAGGAAGAGTTGGGAGGGTGGGAATATAAAGAGACGAGAGGAAGCTTTTTTGAGATAATGGGTATGTTAATTATTTTGATTGTAGAAATCATTTCACATATGTAAAACTTCCAATTTTATGTTTTAAATAACACAAAAACTCATTTTTTTAAAAAATGTAATTCAAAAATACAATCTATCGATAATTCAATCTATCTATTGTATTTTTAAAAATACAATCTATCGGTAATTCAGCAAACCTAAATTGTCATTTGTTAAAAGGAGCATTACTTTAGGTATGAGGATCAGTATTTCTGAACTCTAATAAAGGAAGAAGGAGAGTATGAACTGAGTGTTTACTCCCCATGCCGACATCTCATGAAAATTTAAAACTAAAATAATACAAGAGCAAATGTTTTAAAATTCCTAGCAGCAGTAATCCAAAATGATATAAGTGTACTCAATTTTAGTTTAATATTATTCTGAACATGCTTGCTTGTATTCCTTCTAAAAGGGCAAGGAGTATTTTTGCAAAATTGGTGGACTGATAGGCTCATCCCTTACCTTTTGCTGGATAGCCTGGAGTGAGTGGGTCACCAGCACCATTCAAATTTAACACATTTCCTCTCTGGGCTGCAGTTCCAGGAAGATTCCATCCTTTGGGATATGGCTGTACCTCAGGAGCAAAGTAGTCAGCTGGATCTGAGTACAAGATGATTCCTATGGCTCCTGCTAACATGGCATTTTTAACCTGCAGGGGCAATGTGCAATTCATAATGCAGATATGGCAAATGGTTGGCTTATTCATATAAGAAAGACATTAATTTAATAATGGAAGGATATTTAGACACTGCCTTTTACCATACAATTACACATTCAGTTCTCTTGGCTTTGAACACAATTTCCCACCTATTAGACCTAACAGACTTCCATTATTCCATGGAAATCTAAACGAGTTATCATTTCTTCTGTGAAACATTCCTATTACAACCTGCAACTGTAGAATTCATGTCCCTTCTTTGTAGTTCTATATTTTCTATATTATAGGATAGCTCTTAATGTATTAAAACATCTATTAAATATCTATCTCTCCTATTAGGCTGAGGGTGTTTTTGAAAACTTGAACCATGTGTTCTTAATTTTAAACTACTGCCCTGTAAAATCTCGCACATCATAGAGTAAGCATTCTACAAATATTTATGGAACTAAACTCATTTAAAATTGTATGCAGAGCAGTCATATTTGTGAAAAACAGCCCAGGGTTTTTGTAAACATCTTTCTAACAATCCAAACTGGCCAAAAATAGGAAAATGTACCCTGTGAGATACTAAATTCTTCTTCACCAAAAGTATTGTAGCAGAAGATGGATAACAGTCTTGATTCATAAAAATGCATTCCAATATTTAGAGAACACCCTGTTATATCACTAAGAGTATAATCTGTCACAACTTTTTGAAGGAAAATTGATGATGTCTATCAAAATTTTGAAAGAATATACACTATTATTTAGCCATTTAATTTCTATGAATCTATACTACAATAATCTTCACACAAATTTCTGGAGCATATATGGACAAAGATGTTCACAATTAAATTATTTGTAATAGTAACAAATTCAAGATGAGACAAACATCGTCAGTAGCGGAATGGTTAAATAAATGGCTTATCAATTCTGTGAAATATGATGCCATCATTTAAAATACTGAGGTAATTAATAAGCAGTTATATAGAAATTACTAAGTACCAGCCACTTTCCTAAGTGCTTTCAAACAAAGTCATTCAATAAGGACTCTATGAGATTGGTGCCCTCGTCATTCGCATTTTATATGTGAGGAAACTTTGCAACAGAGAAGTTAAGTAACATGCTCACAGTAAAAGATCTAGAAAGAATAGGAGCCAGACTAGACAAGAACCCAGGTGATATGGATCTAGGGTTCTATACTCTTAACCAATGTATTACATAACTCTCAACATGTGGACATGAAGAATATGAGTCATGGCTGAATGAAAAAAAATAAAGTCTTATAATATACAATGTAAAAGTAAATAAATAAATATATGTAAAATGGACATATAGGGACAGATGTATTTATATGTCACAGAATTAGGTTTGAAAAAAGCTATTAAGATTGATTATATCTGAATAATGAAGTGGGTAATGCAGAGAAGCTTTTCATTTTTTACTTTATATAAATTTCCTTCAATTAAATTTCTAAAAGCAAATATTACTTTTATAATAAAAATGATTCAAAATAATCTCCTTTTCCAGGTATGTAAGAAAACATAAAAACATGAGTTTCCGTGTACCCATGGCAAATAGGAAGAAAAAAAGAAAAGAAATGTTTGAAAGCAATTTGGAAACAGAGAAGCAAGTTGGTCATTTACATTTACAGAATATATATATCCTCTCATTCTCTGTAGAAAAACAAATAATACTGTACTTTATTTCCTCTGAAGATTTTTCCATATCTTGCAATAACAATCTTCCCAGTACAGTTGATGCCCATCTCTCTTTCTAGTTTGAAAAAGTCTTCAGTGCGAGCATAGTTCACATATACAAGATCTCCCTATAGGGAAAAGAAAATATATATAATACTGCTAAAATTAAAGAAAAAAAAAAACAAAAAATAAGTTTGCTTCACAATACTACATCATCAAAAGTGTTTCCTTTCTTTATTTGGGGAGTAATAAACAGACCCACAGTAATTATGCAGAATTCATTAGAGAATCTTTTAAAATCCTGAAAAGTTTAAAAAACGACAATGTATAAGAGTTATTTATTTATTTATTATTTTTGAGACGGAATTTCACTGTCACCCAGGCTGGAGTGCAGTAGCACTCCCTCGGCTCACTGCAACCTCCTCCACCTTCTGAGTTCAAGTGATTCTGCCTCAGCTGCCAGAGTAGCTGTGATTACAGACATGCGCCACCATGCCCAGATAATTTTTGTATTTTTTAACAGTAGAGATGGGTTTCACCATGTTGGCCAGTCTGGTCTTGAACTCCTGACCTCCAAAGATCTGCCCGCCTCAACCTCCTAAAGTGCTGGGATTACAGGTGTGAGCCACCACACCCAGCCAGACATATCTAAACAGCATGTCCTGTGTTGAAGAAATCATCAGTGTATACAAAGCCACAGGGAATAGAGTAAATAAATGTCATTTTAAAGATCCTAACTATATTTATTTAATTTCCAACCATTGCATTAATTTAAGAACCTCTATGGTATGATCTATAAAATCCTATCTATGAATCCATAAAATATTCAAATTATGAAAAATGGAAAGAAGCTTGTAAAAACACCTACTGCTGGGCGGAAGCGGTAGCTCACGCCTGTAATCCCAGCACTTTGGGAGGCTGAGGCAAGCAGATCACCTGAGGTCGGGAGTTCGAGACTAGCCTGACCAACATAGAGAAACCCCGTCTCCACTAAAAAAAAATACAAAATTAGCAGGATGTGGCGGCATGCACCTGTGGTCCCAGCTACGCGGGAGGCTGAGGCAAGAGAATTGCTTGAACCTCGGAGGCAGAGGTTGCAGGGAGCCGAGATTGTGCCACTGCACTCCAGCCTGGGTGACAAGAGCGAAACTCTGTCTCAAAAAAACAAAACGAAACAAAAACAAAAACAAACAAACAAAAAAACACCTACTGCCTCACTGAAAGGCATGTTCAGCAGTTTGTTATTTCAGAGAGTGGCAACTGCTTCAGCAGGGTCAGTTTTTAATGTATTTGTTTTGTTTCTTTTTTCTCTGGTGTTCTTTTCTATTTTATTTTATTGTAATTTTTTTAATTTGAGGGATGAGGTTTTCATAGTACTGAATATCAAACAAGGAACCCGCATGAATGATTCACCTAATTTCCTTGGTTTTAGTCCTCCATACAGGTTTTACATAGCAAAAGAACCATTTAAAGACTTGGATTACAAAAGTATTTTATTTTACCTCTGGCATGCCTTGGGCTGAGAAAGCATTATATGGTGGCACAATATTTGTAACATTCTCATAGCCATCTGGTGGTGGTTCAAGGTATGATGTTTTGAAAATCTAGCAAGAATTAAAATATGTCAAGTTAGAAAAATTCCAGATTATTATTAAGATATAATTCATTTTGCCTCCAAGTATATACTTCAGATTAAGCATCCTGGAACAAGGTTCTGTAATAGATAAATTACACTGACAACAATGAGAAAGAGCCTTATCATTATTATTGTCTTCCTAACAATAGAAACTTTTATAAATGCATGCAATCCCAGGTAACCAAAAGTTTCCTTATAAAGTGTAACAGCAGAGCTTCAAAGGTGGCACTTTGGTGATCCTCTTTTTTTTGACTATGCCTTTTCAGCTTCCTTTGTGGGCTCCTTTTCTTTCATCTTTATTTAAATAATATTTCCCCATGTTTTATCCCCAGCCCATTGCTTGCCTCTGTACTCCCTCCCTGCGACACTTCATTAAGTATCAGAATTTTACCAATAGCTAATATGCTTATGATGCTTACCTTTTCAGATTCATATATTTAAATGTTTGGTGGTTATTTCATCCTGGATGTCCAAACTCAACATGTTAAAATTCAAATTTATCATCTCTCACCCTGGGCCTGCTTTTGATCTGCATTTCCTACCTCTATTAATAGCTTCAGTCATTAGCCACCCACACCAGACAGTCTCGGAGTCATCCTGAACTCTATCTTCCCCTCCTTCCCCAAGTCAATCACTAATCAAGTCCTGCTAATACATTTCCTTACTATTTCTGAAATCCATCCCTCATCCTCATTCCTACTAACATCCTAATTTAAAACTTTATTATCTTTTACCTGGACTATTGTCTTAAGACAACAACTTTAACCCGTTGCTTAGCCTAGGTGTGATCCATAGAGGACGTTGTCTATCTAAAATGCCCCTCTAGCCACATCCTTCCCCTGCTCAGGACTTGTCATTGGCTCCCGTGAACTGAAGTTGAAGTTTAAGCTCCCTAGGACAGCATACACGCCCTTCTATGATCTGTTCCCAGAACATATTTACTGGTTTATCTCATATCGTGGCCTACTTCATATTTTACACTTTTGAAATACAGAAAATCATTACATTCTCCCAATAAAACTAGGCTAGTATATGCCTCCAAGCATTTGCCAATATTTTGTCTTTTGTTGAGAATTTTCTTAGCTTATTTTGTCACATGGTTAACTCCTATGTCCTTTCATGACTCACGTGTCAAGACTTCAGGAAACATTGTCTAACTCCCAGGCTGGGCTGAGTGACCCTTTTCTGGGTAAATAATGAATTCTAATCATAATCTTCATAGCACTTACCATACTAATTTGAGGTCTGAAGTATTCCATTGTCTGCCTCAACTTACTTAGGCAAAGGAACCATGCCTTAGTCTTATTCTGGCCTCAGGACTTAACACCATGTCGAACACATAGTGGATACTGAATAATTCACTATTAACAAATTTCTACTTTTACTTGACCCTACATTACAATCCACATAAAACGGTCGGATTGCAAAATATAAAAAGTACCAACAATTTCACATACCTCAGTTTCATGTTCATCCACAATCGATATATAGTTGGCATTTGTCTCATTGGGGTAAGATAAGAGGACATCATAATGAACCAACTTGGCTGAATCTAGTCCAAATTTCTTCCACTGGGTTTGGATTTTCTTGGCAAGCAAGAAATTTTGTTCTGTTCCTGCCAGATGAGGAAGCTTTGTAAAAGAACTAAAATGAAAATAAAACATAAGAGGGCATTAAAGACTATGCTCAGACGATGTGCCTAAGAACTATTCTAAATGCACTACTTATGCATTGGGCATTAAGTTGTCATTCCTATATGACAGATAAAAGAAACACAGCTAATGCTACCAGTTTCTAGATAGGCCAATTTTTAAGTTATTTGTGTACAACTGCAGTTTTCATATTATGCTTCCTCAGAAAAGAACACATTTCATGGTAGATACAATCAGCAAAGGCTCAGATATGAGATGACACCCTGGAAGAATGTCATACTTCTATACCAATAATGTTCCTTTTTGCTGTTTGTCAGAGAACAGAGACATTTTGGAAAAAAAAAATAGATCTTAACCTCTCGCAGGGACCACTTGGGCACTTCCATGTTTATCTTATATATTTCTACTGTTGATTGTATCATGTATGCAGTTGCTTATTTATCTCATTGATCTCAAAGTCCATGCATTTTTATTTTTCATATCCCCTAGTGCTTAGTTCTTGCCTTTTACCCAAAATGTACAGGCTTGCTGAATTTAATTTGGGCAGTGTTCTCTTGGTTTTGGATGTAAATGAGTTGTAACATTTAAGTGACCCCACAAACATAGTTCTTAGTGAGATTTATTTTACTTGGGGTGAATAATATTTTTAAAGTCCCTGGCCAGGCATGGTGGCTCACACCTGTAATCCCAGCACTTTGGGAGGCCGAGGAGGGTGGATCAACTGAGGTCAGGAGTTCAAGACCAGCCTGGCCAACATGGTCTTGAACTACCCCGTATCTACCAAAAATACAAAAAATTAGCCAGGCGTCGTGGCGGGTGCTTGTAATCCCAGCTACTTGGGAGACTGAGGCAGGAGAATTGCTTGAATCTGGGAGGCGGAGGTTGCAGTGAGCCGAGATCATGCCAATGCACTCCAGCCTGGGTGACAGAGTGAGACTACATCACAAAAAAAAAAAAAAAAAAAAAAAAAAAAAAAAATTAAACTCCCCCACCATCAGTAGAACAAAAATAAACCCTTTTTTAATTTTTTTTTTTTTTTAGTTAACCGGATGACAGCCACAAAATATACAGCAGTAGAAGGAAATTAACATGTATTGAAAACCTGTTGTATGACAAGCACTCTACATTCACTTTCACATGTGTTTTCTCATTTAATCATCACAATCCTTCTTCTGTCATCCCCATTTTGCAAATGAGGAGACTGACAGAGTGACTGAATAATCTACTCATAATTTTACAGCTAATAAATGCTGGAACTGGAATCCAAAATTGTAGTTACCCGATCCTGAGAAATAGTGATATTTCTAAATAATTCATCTGCTGTTATTACCCATGTGCTTAAAACTCTTCTACAACTCCCTGTACCCTGCATTAGAAAGTCCACACTCCAACATGGCATCTAAAGCACTTTTAGGTTAGGTCCTGTCTTCTGTCTTTTCAGGTTAATTCCACATCACTCTCTTATAAATTCCTCTACTCTCTGTCACTGAGTATACTTATTTTTCTCATAAAATGATTATGATCTTTAATACCTTTTAGCCTTTGCACAATGTCTTATCTCAACCAAAAATATTGTCCCATCTACCTGAATCTCCCTCTATCACCACTTCTAATCACTCTCCTTTCTCATCTGCAAACTATTAATCATCCATAAGGACTCTTCAAGCATCATCTTCTCTCAGAAGATGTCTTTCTCTATATCAGAAAATGAAAACTGCAGGTATCAGATGTTTAATTTCTTACCATATTTATTTTTTAAAAGTACAAATGTGTTCAGACAGAAGTTATTTTATATGTATAGGAATAAAAAAGCAAAACAGCTAGAGATATTTAATTTCTACTTTATACAATTCATTATTTTTGTTTCTACATAGAGCAGATATGATTCTTGCAATTAGAAAAAATATATATATTTCCTTAAATTAGGAGGGAGGATTAGCCATGAACTTTTTTGCCTCCCATCTTTTCAAGAACCCCCTGAAATGAAATAGAGAAGTACAGAAAAAGAGTAGGAAGGTAGAACATCCTTTATTTTATATCAGGGTTTCTCTGTATGGTCCCAAGATGGGCATTACAGCGCCAGGCATACATATTCACCCAGTAACTTCAGGAGAAACAAGTACAAACTAGAACAACTATTCCTTCTTTTGTGTTTAACAAAGGAACATTTTTCTAGAAGATCTTAGCCAAGTTTTTCTCCCATTTCATTAGGCAAAATAGGGTCATTTACCCCTTCTCAAATCAACCATTGCTAGAGGGAGGGTAATGATTGGCTTATGGACTAATCAAGAGATTCCTGGGCTGGGAGGAAGGTAACCTTTACTGAACACATACCCTCCTGAGAGAGGGAGAACACTCAAAGTTGAGGCTCTGTTAAAAAGAAAGTGGCTGGGAGAAATACAATTGTTCCCACATTTAAGCCCTTTAACCCACTCTTCAAGCCCTCCTTTGCCTTCTAAACTCTTCTGCTGTGTTCATTAACCCTTTAGCTCTGCAATCAACTATTCGCTTATATCTTCAGCACCTTCTCTGAATGTTTCCTTGACCTCCTTGTCTTTCTTTTCCGTTTTTTTTTTTTTTTAATGGAGTTTTGCTCTTGTTGCCCAGGCTGGAGTGCAGTGGTACAATCTCGACTTACTGCAACCTCCGCCTCCCAGGTTCAAGCAATTCTCCTGCCTCAGCCTCCTGAGTAGCTGGGATTACAGGTGCATGCCACAATGCCCAGCTAATTTTTTGTATTTTTAATAGAGGTGGGGTTTCATTATGTTGGACAGGCTGGTTTTGAATTCCTGACCTCAGGTGATCCACTCTCCTTGGCCTCCCAAAGTGCAGGGATTACAGGCATGAGCCAACGTGCCCAGCCAACCTCCTTGTCTTAACTGGTTTCCTCTGAGGACCCTGCTCACATGCCGGCTGTTTTATTTTCCATGATCCCATATAGCTCATGGCTAAAATTCAGCTAGGAGGCCTTCTTACTCTCCACTGGCTCTTTCAAATATATCTCTTTTATCTTCTTTAAAAACTAACAGCTTTTTTGAAGCTTACAACAAAAGTCACCACCCACTACACCTTCTAGGTATGTACTGTCATCTACAAAACTTTGAGTCATGCCTCTTCATTCATTAAAGTTGGGGGCTCCTAATATGGTGTATTTCCCTCTATCCCTGTTCTTGTCATCATTCTTGGTGTGTAATTTTTGTATGTGTATCTCTCTTCAAGTGATGTTCATTCCTACTCATTCTTTTCCTGTATCATCAAAAAAGCACCTCACAACAGACATTTTGAACTAATCTCTTGATATCTGATGTGCCTTGATAATACATAAGCTGAAATTTAATAAGAACATTATAGCTGATTTATTCCTCATTACAATAGCTCACTCGAGTTCATCCATAGACACTAACATGGAACCTTGTGATCTCATCAACAGCACAGATGGGTAGAAAATAGAGATACTACTCAACTTATGGTGAGGTTATGTTCCTATAAACGCATTGAAAGTCAAACATATTACTAAATTGAAAATGCATTTAATACCCTGATAAATCCATCATAAAGTTGAAAAATTCTAAATCAAACCATCATAAGTCAGGGATTGTCTGTTAACTGTAGTGTATGTACTTCGCTCAGTGTATCTGTCTGTAGGGTTTAACTGGAGTATTAAAAGAGAAGAGGAGAAAGAATGGTACAGAAAGATATTTTAAGAAATAGTAAACAAGACCTTTCTAAATTAATAGAAGACATAAATTTACATTGTCAAGAAGCTCAGAGAGCCTAAACAGGCTAAATTTAAAGAAAACTATGCCTAGACACATAGTAAAACTGCTGAAAATCAAAGACAAAAATAAGACGTTACATGATTTAATGACTGTAAACTTCTCATCAGATGACATAGCAGCTAGAAGACAGTGAAACATTTAAAGTTCTAAAAACTTCATGTGTATTAGCGGAGTCAACCCAGAATTCTATGTCCAGGAAAAATATGTTTGGAGAATAAAGTTGAAGTAAAGAATTTTATGGGTGAAGAAAAACTAAGAATTTGTCACCATCAGACTCCACATTACAGGAAATACTTAAGGAAGTTATTCAGACTCAACAGAAATAGCACAAGGCAACCTAAATCTTCAGAAACAAATGAAAAGCATCAAAAACGATAAATACCTAAGAAACATGAAATACTAATTTTAACTTTAATTGGTTTACAATACATATACATGTTCAAAGAAAAAATATAACATTAATATAACATTATTTTTTGAGGTTTATATTTCATGTATGTATAATACATATGACAGCTACTTTATAAAGGATGGTGGGGGAGAGAGTAAATGGACATAAAGAAATGTGAGTTTCTCCATTTTGTATTAAGTGACACAGTAGTAAATTTAAGAATACAGTGAAACATTACAGATGTATAATATAACCTTTAGAGTATCCACTAAAAAGTATAGCCAAAGAGGTATAGCCAAAAGATAAATTGAAATAAAATAAAATTTCATATATTTTCCCCACTATCAAAAAGTCAGAAAATGAGTAAAGGTACAGAAAGAAAACAGAAAACAAACCAAAAAGTGGCAGACTTAAGTTTAATTATATCAATCAATAACTATATTATATGTTAATGGACTAAATACTCACAAGGCAGAGGTTACCAGAGTGGATAAAAAAGCAAATATCTATTATATGCGGCCCACAGAGGGCATACTTAAATTAAGATTACAAAAATGGATAAAACAGCAAATGACAACTGTGTTCTCTCTATAGAGGGTACATTTTAATTCTAATGAAAGTGATAGTTAAAAGTAAGTAGATGGAAGAAGACATCGTATATAAACATAAGTATTAGAAGGCTGACGTGGCTCCATTCATATGAAATAAAATAGACTTAAAAAGATTATTACTAAAGATAACTAAGCACATTTCATAAAAATAAAAGGTCATTCTGTTTTGAAAACATAGCAACGTCCATGTGTATATGCCTAATGAATGAGCCTCAGAATACATAGAGTAAAAACTGAGCAAGTTAATGGGACAAATAGACAATTTCGCATTCGTGGAGAAAACTATAACATACCTCTGGATTAAATTTGACCCCCTCCCAAATTAGTGAAGAAATAAAGGAATTACCCTACCGACCAGCTAAAAAAGAAAAATCATATGATCATATTAATTGATACAGAAAAAGCGCTTGACAAAATTCAACACCCATTCATGATAAAAACCCTCAGCAGTCTTGGAATAGAGGAGAGCTTTCTTAACTTGACAAAGAGCATCAACAAAATAACGACAGCTACATCATACTTAATGGTGAAACTAAATCTTTCTCCTTAAGATTAGAAAAAAGAAAAGAATGTCCACTCTTACTACTCTTATTCAACAGAGTAATGGAGTTTCCAGTCAGCACAAAGAGGCAATTTTTCTTAAAAAAGTAAAAGGCATACAGGTTAGAAAGAAAAAAGAAATGAAATGTTCCCTTTTTGAAGATGACATTATTGTCTACATAGAAAATTTCAATGAATCTACAAGAAACAAACCAAAACAAACAAACAAACCAAACTCTTTCCCACCTTCCAGCCAAGTCCAGTGGCTCACATTTGTAATCCCAGAACTCTGGGAGGCCTAGGTGGGAGGATCGCTTAACTCCAGGAGTTTGAAACCAGCCTGGGAAATATGGCAAGACTCTGTCTCAGAAAACCCCCCCAAAACCAAAACAAACAAACAAACAAAACCTTCTTAGAGTTCAGCAAGGCCACAGGATGCAACATCAATACACAAACACAACAGTATTTCTATATGCTAACAACAGAGTATGTGGAAATTGAAATTAAAACACAATATAATTTGCATTTGCTCCAAAGAAAATGAAAGATGCAAATCTAACAAAGCATGTAAAGCATCTGCTTAATGCAAATTACAAAATGCTGATAAAAGAAAGATGATCTACAATTGGAAACATACCACGTTCATGTAATAGAAGACTGGACATAGCAAAAATGTCAAGAATTCCCAAATAGCTCTATAGGATTAATGTAATTCCTATCAAAGCTCCACCAATAGTTTTTTAGACAAATATGTGTTTATTATATATTTTAAATGAAAAGGTAAGGGATATAGTATAGCTACAATAATAGTTTAAAAGAATAAGGTAAGAGAAATCATTCTATGTTTTGTTAAAATCTACTATGTCACTTTAATAATCAGGACAGTATGGTACTGGATAAATAGGGCAGAATATAAAACCCAGAAACAGAATAAGACTCTGTCTCTACAAAAGAGAGAATCTAGAAATAGACTCACACAAATACGCCCAACCAATTTTTAACAAAGGTGCAAAAGCAATTAAATGAAAGAAGGATAACATTTTAACAAATGGTGATAGAGCAGTTGGCCATTCTCAAGCAAAAGAATAAACTCAACCTAAACCTTACACCTTTATGCACAAAATAACTCAAAATAGGTCAGAAACTTTAATGTAAAAGGTAAATTATAAATCTCTGGGGGAAAAAAGAAGACAAAATTGGTCAAAGTCCAGATCAAAGAGTTCTTAGATATGAACCCAAAAGCATGATCCAAAAAGAGAAAAATTGATAAATTAAACCTCATCAAAATAAGGTTTTAACTTCTGATCTGCAAATGAGGGTGGGCAAATAGACAAATTACAGACTGGGAAAAAATATTTGTTCACTGCATTTCCAACAAAAGACTTATATCTAGAATAGAGTTGACCCTTGAAACATAGGTTTGAACAACATGGGTCCACTTATATATGAATTTTTTTCAATAAATATATTGGAAAATTTTTTTGAGATTTGCAGCAATTTAAAAAAAACTCATAAATGAACCACATAGCCTAGAAATATTAAAAAAAAAAGAAGAGGTTTGTCACGAATGCATGAAGTACATGTAAAAGTATTTTATCATTTACTGTTTTAAAATAACATGAATCTATTATAAAAAGTTAAAATGTATCAAAACGTAGGCATACAGTTACAGACTACATGGTGCCATTTGCAGTCTAGAGAAATGTAAACAAACATAAAGATACAATATAAAATCATAATTATGTAAAATTAACTGTAATACATTGTGTACTACAGTAATACTTTTGTAGCAACAGCTTATTGCTCTTGCCGTGAGCTTGTGAGGTGACTATCTGCTTAAACCACTGTGTGATATTAATCATCTCCCTAATCATCACTACCTGAACAGTTTGTTTCTCCAGTAAATTGCTTATGGCAGTTTAAAAAATGATCTCCCATGGTTCTCATGTAGTTCTTACCATGTTTAGTACAATACTGTAAACCTTGAATAACACCGTGGGATCCATACAAAGTGCCACTAATGATACATTATAAGAAAAGGTTGAATTGCTTGGTATACCGTAGACTGAGGTATGCAGCTGTGATTGCCCTCCATTTTCAAAATAAATCCAGCATAAGGACTATTGTTAAAAAAAAAAAAAAAAAGGAAAAGTTTGTGAAGCTGTCATGGCAGCTATGCCTGCAAATGTGAAAACTTTGTTCTTTTGCAAATTACCTTTTTTTCTTGTATTGAAAATGTAGCTTTTATGTGGGTGTAGGATTGTTATAAGAAAGGCATATCTATAGACTCTAATTAATGTGATTTGAGAAAAAGCAAAGTCATTCTATGATAATTTAAAGCAAAAGGAAGGTAAAGGTGGAGAATAGTATGCCTGCAAAAGATGGTTTGATACATTTAGAAAGAAGTTTAACTTAAAGTGTCGAGATAAGAGGAGGAGCAGCTTCTGCTCACCAAGAGGCAGTAGACAAGTCTTCAGATGACATTAAGAAAATTACTGAGGAGAAAGCATATCTGCCTGAAAAGGTTTTTTAATGCAAATGAAAATGCCCTATCCTGGGGGCAGAGGGGGATGCTACAAAGGGTATTTATGAGTAAGGAAGAGATGTAAGCACTGAGATTTAAGGCAGGAAGGGATAGGCGAATTCTACTGTTTTGTGCAAATGCACTTGGGTTTATGATAAGGACTGCCCTTATCTATGAAGCTGTTAACCCCCAAGCCTTGAATGGAAAAGATAAACACCAGCTTTCAGTCTTTTGTTTGTACAACAAGAAGGCCTGGACAACAGAAACCTATGTTCTAGATTGATTCCACCCATACTTTGTTCCTGCAGTCATGAAATACCTTGCCAGGAAGGGATTGCCTTTTAAAATTCTTTTGGTATTGGAAGACACCTCTGGCTACCCAGAAACCCTGAGATCAAGTAGTCTACTTACCCCCAAACACATCTCTCTAATTTGCCCCCTAGATCAAGGGGTCATAATAAGAATTTTAAGGCTCACTGCACTCTATGGAAAGGACTGTCAATACTACGGAAGAGAACCCTGACAGAACTTCATGAAATTCTGAAAAAAATTACATTATTGAAGATGCCATCATTGTTATAGAAAATGCTGTGAAAGCCATCAAGCCCAACACAACAAATTCCTGCTAAAGAAAACTGTGTGCAGATGTTGACATGACTTCACAGGATTGATGACAGAGCCAAACAAGGTAATCATGAAAGAGATTGTGAATATGGCAAAAAAAAAAAAAAAAAAAAAAAAAAAAAAAAAAGTTGAGGGATGAAGGGTTTCATGATAGTAATCTTGGAAAAATTCAAAAGTTAGTAGACACCAGAAAAATTAACAGAAGACGATTTGATGGAGATGAATACTTCTAAACCAGTACCAGGTGATGAGGAAGAAGACACAGAAGAAGCAATGCCAGAAAACAAGATGATATTAGACAATCTGGCAGAAGGGTTTCCATTATTCAAGACTGCTTTTGACTTCTTTTACAACACGGTCCTTTCTATGATATAGGCACTAAAACTAAAGCAAATGATGGAAGAAGAACTGGTAGTGTATAAAAATATTTTTAGAGAAAAGAAAAAGCAAAAAACATACATGATGTCTAAGAATTAAATGGAATGTGACTGCCTTTCCTGACTCCCTTCTCTACCTTCTCTGCCTCTGCCATCCTTGAGACAGCAAGACCAACCCCTCCTCTTCCTCCTCCTCCTCAGCCTACTCAATGTGAAGACTGGATGAAGACCTTCATGAAAATCTACACTCACTTAATGAATAGTAAATGCTTTTTCTCTTTCTTATGATTTTCTTAAAATCATTTTCTTTTCTCTAGCTTACTTTATTGTAAGAATACAGCATATAATACATATACAAAATACATATTAATTGTCTATGTTATTGCTAAGGTCACTAGTAGGGTATTAATAGTTAAGTTTTGGGGGAATTAAAAGTTATGTGTGGATTTTTGACTGCATGGGGGGTCAGCACCCTATGCCCACATTACTCAAGAGTCAACTCTATATAAAGAACTCTAAAATCTCCATAGGAGGGTTGGGGATGGTGGCCTATGCTTGTAATCCTAGCACTGTGGGAGGGTGAGGTGGGTATGTCACTTGAGCTCATGAGTTCGAGACCAGCCTGGGCAAAATAATGAGACCCTGTCTCTACCAACAACAACAACAACAACAACAAAATAAATAAAATAAACAAAAATAAAAAAATTAGCTGGGTGTGGTGATGCATGTCTGTAGTCCCAGCTACTCAGGAGGCTGAGGTGGGAGAATCCCTTGAGCCTAGGACATGGAGGTTGCAGTGAGCTGAGATTGCACCACTGTACTCCAGCCTGGGTGATGGAGTGAGACTCTGTCTCAAAACAACAACATCAACAACAAACAAAAAACTCCACAGGGGGAAAACAACTTATATCTAAATACAAAATAAGCCAAAGCCGTGAATAGACTTCTAAAATTATTTATTTTTAAATTTTATGGCTACCTACTACTTGTACACATTTATAGGGTATATGTGATATCTTGATACAAGCATACAATAAGTAATGATCAAATCAGAGTAGTTAGGATATCTATCACCTCAAACATTTATCATTTCTTTGAGTTTGGAACATTTCAAATCCACTCTAGTTATTTTGAAATATACAATAAATTATTGTTAACTATAGTTGCCCTATTGTGCTATGTAATACTAGATCTTATTCCTTCTATCTAACTGTATTTTTGTACCCATTGAACCAACCCCTCAGTATTGTCTGCCCTCCTCACTACCCTTCTAGTTTCTGGTAACCATCATTCTATTCTCTGTCTCCATGAGATCAATTTTTTTTTAGCTCCCACATATGAGTTAGATCATGCAATATGTGTCTTTCTGTGCCTGGCTTATTTCACTTAATATAATGACATTTAGTTCCATTCATTTTGCTACAAATGATAGGATTTCTTTCTTTTTTATGCTGAGTAATAATCCATCCTGTATATACACCATAATATTTGTTGATGGAAGTTGATCATCAGGTTGATTTGGTATCTTGGCTATTGTGAATATTGCTGTGGTAAATATCAGAGTGCACATATCTCTTTGGAATACTGATTTCCTTATTTTGAGGTAGAAATGCAAAATGATGCAACCACTTTTCACTTATCTTAGGCATTTTCTTAAAAAGTTAAACTTATGCTTATCATCAAACTCAACCATTTCAAGAGAAATAAACCACATATCCACAGAAAGACTTGTAAACATCTGTTCATAGCAGCTTTATTCACAATAGTCAAAAACTATAATCAACCCAAATTTCCATCAATTATACATTGCAATATATCCATACAATGGAATTCTAGTCTGCAATAAAAATAATGAACTACTAATGCATGCAACAATCTAGATGAATCTCAAAATCATTATTCTGAGTAAAAGAAGCTAGATACAAAAGAACATATACTATATGATTCCATTTAAATAAGATTCTAGAAAATGCAAATGAATCTCCAGTGATATAAAATTGGTTAGTGATTGCCCAGTGACAGAGATGGAGGGGGATGGGGAATAAACTGCAAAGGGCATAATGGAATATTTTTGTAGCATGATGGAGGAGGTGGTTTGTTCAGCATAGCATACGTCTGTCATAACTCTCAAATTGTAGGCTTTATAGGGATGCAGTTTATTTTATGTAAATTATACTTCACTAAAGCTGATTTTAAAAAATAACACCCATTTGAAAGAGTCTGAATACAGAAATAAATACCATGGCCATTGTTCTTAAGGAGTTTATGATCACTCCCCCAATTTCCACTGTTTTTCATGGTTAGAAGCTGGAGGAATGGCAATGATTCTTTTTGGTTTCATTTTGTCTTATTTGTAAAAAACAAATTTATACCTGCAAGATGGGATAAAGGTTTAACTTTTGGCAGACAGAATCAGACACTTTGATCACTTTTCCACTAAATCACTTAGTCAACCATCATCTAACTTTCCCTGACAGAATATGGTATCTAAGAAAATTGCTGATTAAAACCCAGGCACTGATGAACAAAGAATAACATTCAGTTAGATCCAAAGTTACATGAAGTTGAAACATCTCTCAATAAGCCAACCAGATACTTTTTGTTACATAAAGTTAGGGAAGAAAGACCTACTTTTTCACCCCAAGACTGGTGTAAAGAGACATTAAAAAAAAAAAAAAAGTTGATGACTAATATGTAATTTCACACAGAGAAGACTGTCCTCATGCATATAACCAGGTATAATATGCTTCTCACTGTGATATTTTAAACATGATTTTTAAGATCAAATACGTAAAATAAACTTACCGAAGAAATGATTTGATGTTTTCAGCTTTCATTTCGGATACCAGTTTCCACCGTATACTTTGATGATAGCGCACAGAAGTGGTCGTTTCTTTGAGAGGCTTAATAAACCAGCCTAAGGAAAAAAAATACACAAACATGCACACATACACACAAAATCACTTTGACTTTATTAAAACTAGAAGCCACCCCTCTGTCCTTCCCCCCAAAAAGCCTTTATCTGACAAGTAGATCATGGTGAGCTTTAAAAAATAATGTTTATATTAAATGCAGAAAACCTGTAAATTCTGATATGTAATATAATTTTTAGATGCTTAAAAGGAGTTTTATTTAAGAGAAGCTCTTTCATTTTCTCACGTTATGCATGAAGGCATGGCTTTTGTTGTTCTTCCCTGGATCTCTAGTCCCTGACACATAGGGAACATTCCACAAATATTTATTTACGTATAGAGCAGGGTTTTGTTTTGCTTTGTTTCGTTTTGCTTTGTTTTTAATGCTGCCCGTATTAGTTGAAAGTTTTGACTCACTAATGTTGCTTGGAAATAAAACGATTTTTTTTCATCCCTGCAGACAGTGACAGCTGTAGGTTGTCTTTAGTGAACTCAGTGAACATTTAATAAATTTGAATTTCAAGCACACTTTATCTATTAGCAAGCCCAAAATACATTCCATCTGGTTTCTAGTTTTGCTGAAATGTGCAGAGTTTATCATATCTAGCCCAGCCGGCCAGGGCTAGCGCACAGCCCAATCCCTTCCAGCTCCAGGATTTCTCCCTTTATCTCTGCAGAGAATCACGAGCCCCGGAGTCGGGGTAGAGTGTTTTGTTCACTTACCCACCATAAATCCCATCAGGAAAGATGCCAGCGCAGCAGCCAAGCACATCCAAAGGTACAGACGGCCCCTGGATTCCGCCATGGCTTCTTGAGGACCGAGCTTGGGGCGCCTGCTACATTCGCGAGCTTCGGGGCTGCAGAGAAACAGAGAGCGCGCTGGCAGGAGGCTGTGAGCTCTGGGTGGCCTCCGCTGACCTTCGCAAGGCCACGCCTCCGCCCTACCCGCTGGGGACCTGTGGTCCCCAGGGGCCCTCGATGGGGGAAAGGAAGCCCTGCAGAGGGAGGAGACATTCTTCCTGTTGGCGGGCAACTTCCATTCTGTGGATCCCGCAGTAACCCGGACATAGTAGGTGGCGGGAGCTGCTGAAAACGTCCCTAATTTTTTCCTAAAGAACTCTACTGCTGTTTGCCATGCCCATCCCCCAAAATGCCCAGTTTCGGCTCAGAAGTGAATTTAAGTATTGCTTTTCCTGATCTATTGGTTATTCTTCTTCCAGATTCTCTGCTGTAATTTCCCACTCGTCAGACTCGGAAATGATTTCTGGTCCTGGGTGCTCCGCTGTTAAAGCTGTTAACATCACTAATACCGCAATCACTGTCAGCATCAAAATCGATGGGATTGCGTTTTTTTGTTCCCCTTTACTTAAACAAAACTCCACATTTCTGTAATTCTGTTTCCACTCATTTAACTGAGGTTTTTACCTACCTCACTGGAATGTTTTAGGTTCACATTAGTAAAAGTAATCACTGAAAGGACCTTGCACTGCCAGTAGTTACTGAGAGTCTGTTCTTAATGCTAAAGCTCAGACACCAATTTCCCAAAATATGGTGCTTTGACATGCTAAACCGAAGAAGCCAGGGGGTCTCTCTGACCATACCCCTCTCTTCCAGCTCCTCTCTCTCAATCCTTTGTCTCTCCCATAGCACAGAATAAAGCTGTTCTCTAAAGTTCCCTTATCTGCCTAAAGTCCAGAACTACTAAAGGCAAAAACAAACAAACAAAAAAAAAAAGAGTTTCTTTCCTGAGTTTTCATTAACCGAACTAATATCTCAGGAAGAAGGACTGCAGTCTGTCAATACAACTGGCAGCCTTCTGTTACAAACTCTCGTCTGCCCTGTAGGGCCAACAGACTTTGTCCCAGGCCATTGCATATTCTTCAAGCCCATTGAATTTCCCTAAAATTCATTTACTACCCTCTTAAAATTATACACACATTCTCATCTTCCTTTCCTCTAAAAAGATGGGTATATTATCATCTGTACCTCATTGGTTATTGGGTAATCATTCTACTACGATTCCCTTATGCTATGTTATTCATAAATTTGTAAGCCTTTTTTTTTTCTAATAGTCTGCCTTTTGTGAGTTGATTTTCCAGCAAAACTTCAGAGGGTGAAGGGGAAGCTTTCCATTGACCCCTACATTAGCAATGGTCCCTGTCATTCCCCTGTCCTCACCATGCTACATTCATGAAGCATTTCTCTTTAAAGATGGGTTTGCAAAATAGTGGCCATTGTAAATAGCCTTCATCCAACCATCTCATCTCAGAGAAAAATTTTAGGAATTTATGATTGGCTTCACGTATCTAACCAAAAGTAGTTTTTTCAGCCAAAGCAAAACTGCTATGTTGATTTCAAAGATGGTAGTATATCTAGGATAAACTTCACAGCATTGTCTGCAGCCCTGATAGCTTTAGGTAATGCACCTTTGCTCCTAACAAGTGACTGGAAGAGTGAAATTTATTTTTCTGGGACATAACTTTTTTTTGTCCTTGTATTTCAATGGCTATCAATTGAACATAATTGTTGATAGGTATGCCTAATAACTTATTTCTTGAAACTTTTGTAGCATACCTGGTACTTAACTTTGAAGCAAACCTCCTTAATGAACTGTTGATTTCTAAATGTTTGCATGCAATTTAAGTCCCAACTAACTTCAGCTTTTTCAGCTACTAGCCTGTTAGACATTCCTTGACTGACTCCTCCAGTGTTTTTTATTTTAGAGAGAAACATCTTTCAAAAAACATTTTCATAACAAAGTGAGTTTGTTCCCCCTTATATGCATACACACAACACCAAATATAGGGAATTAGAATAGAATTATTCAAAAGGTTCAATATCCAGTGAAGTAACTAAACCCCTCAAATATGGCTTAAGAAACATTTTCCAAGAGCACTCAGAATTATTTTTATGTGTGACATTATGAAATAATACTGGGATTTTAATAACTCTCCAGTGTTTAACAGGTGACACACAAAGGTCTCAAACAATATCAAATGTTATTTTTGTACATATAAACATTTTGGGTATTGATTGTGTAATTTGTCAATTTTTAGACTCTTGGCTTTTTCTATTTGCTACCCATTGGACCATTCACTGTTGACTACATAGCCCTCAAGAGGCAGATCAAAATTATCTCCAGGAAAAGATTTACTGAAGAAAGAGAAGGTAGAAACTAATGAATAAAGTTGCTAAGCTATTTATTAAATTTATTTTTTCTTGCTCATTTTGTGTTTTTTATTGCTAATTGAAGTTTGAGTAATAGAATAAATCAATGCATTATTTAACACAGTTTGCCAGTTTGAATAATCTCCCTAAATTAAAATTAGATTAAAGAGTTCCAAGAATGAGCAATGTTACCTCAAATATGACTGTCGTCTCTGTAGGCGGCATCTGCAATCTTGAAAAGCCATTGTAAAAAGCCCAGTTAGCTGGCTCAACAAGTCTTTGGACTTTTGTCAATATAGACACTGCAAGCATTCAAAATTCTATGTTAATTAAGTTTGTAACAGAAGGCTGCTATCAAAAAGTAATTGCTAATTATTACCATCTTGGCAAATACTTGTACTTTGCAAAGCACACTTAACAAAGCAACACTGTTGACGTAGGGCAATCCTTTTCAATTTCTCCATCAAAGCTAATAGTATATAAAAACTTTGAGTATTGAAAACCAGTCTCTCAATGAAGCTATTTGACACATTTGACCTGCTCATGATTCAGTGAGCCTCTAACATAACAAAACTCACCACTTCCTCCATTTAAGTTAAATTGCTCTTATCTAAGCATTTTTTCCTCCTCTTCTCCATCATAGCAGAAGCAGTTTTGTAACCCTGAAGCTCAAGTTCCTTCAAACAGGTTATGGCAATGTTTGAAAACAAAGTGTCATATATGTACTAATAAAGCAGTATATATAAATTTCACTTGCAGAATTAAGCTTTAATTATTAAGCTTTAATAAAAAAGAATAATGTTTAACTTGATGATAAAGTGGTGAGATATTTGTCAAACCCACAGTCTCACCAGGTGCTGTGCCACAAAATTTCAGGTTTTGCTTGAAAATGTTGCCTTATTCTGCATATGAGAGGCTCACTGTATAGATACAGACATTATGCCCTTAGTGATGTCACAAGGTGGCATTACTAGGGAAATGAATAGGCCCACATGATGTTGTGGTCATCCAGAAAGCAATGTTCACTTTCAAAAATGTGAATCGTTGATGTTATGATAGCTGTGATTCAGCACAAGAATTATATTCCAGTTGGGTATTTGTTTCTTTTCTCTTTTATAGGATGGGGTCTCACTACGTTGCTTTGGCTGGTCTCGCACTCCTGGGCTCAAGCAATTCTCCCAACTTGGCCTCTCAAAGTGCTGAGATTACAGACATGAACCACTGTGGTTAAGTATTTTTAAGATTCTGGGCCACAAAATTGGCAAAAATTAGTTTCAAACATAAAATAAGATGTTAGAAAATTAGTACATTAAACAATATACCAGAACTTATATCACAGAGGAGAGGTGAGACAAAAGAAGTCTAGATAGTGAGAAGAGGTGAAAGACTGATAAAAGTGAGAAGAAATTTTAAAAGGAAAGCAGAAACCATGATTGGATGATTTCCTTCTGATGTCATAATTACTCTACTCAACAATAAATGTAGAAATTAGAAAAGACCTACCAGGTAAATGTGTAAAATAGACCATCCATACCTTCTTATCAGCGTAGGATATGCCTCCTATCATGCTAGCATTCTAGTTGGAACCTTGACACTGGTAAGTTTTACAACTTGGCCTTTAAACCAGATTTTCCGATTTAACATTGCTCATCCCTTATCATTAAAATGCACCTTCAAGCTATTTTCCATAATAGCTTTAACTAATAGTGCCATGATTAGGGTACCTCCAGTGCTATTCCTTCACAAACTCTCATCCTATAGCCTTATTTACAGCTGCAGTCCCTGTATCCCTTTAGTATCATTTTATTGTGTATAAATCCCTTTATATTTTGAATCCTCTCTCTAACATATCTTTTTCTACCCCCTCTTGTCTGACACCTATTTTCACTTGATACCACTTTTTTCTGAAAACCAGTTAAATGGACATTTCCTTTTCTTGCCTCTCCATTGACTCATGGGGTCAGAGAGGAAGGACAGATCTTTGCTTTGTCACCATTATTCCCTGCACATTCTCTTCTGAAGTCACTTCCATCTGATTATATAATTTGCTTCCTTTTTTCATCATTGTCCCCACCAAGATATTATCCTACTTTCTCCAGTGGTTTTAATGGCTACATTGTAGAATTTGAGTGTGCCCCATTCTTTGGCACTTCACTCCTCATTTTCTTTCACACCTCACATAGAATTCTTTAGTATGTTCTATTGGCTCTGCAATCAAAATGTATCTTGAATCTAGCTGCTTACCATCTTCACCGCCATTATTCTAATCTTAGCCACAATAATCTCTCATGTAAAGCATTTTTATTGGGTTCTCTTTCTCCACCTTTGCAGACCATCTTTGACTCAATAGAATGTCCTTCCTAAGTCAAAAATCAGATCAAGTTATAACTTAAAATTTTCCAAAGCCCTGTCTTTAAACTTAAAAACAAAATTTATCAGAACAAGGATCTCTGAGAAAAAATAAAAACTATAAACAACCCCAAATTCCCCCAAATTTAGACTCATTAGAGTGGCTACCAAAAACCCACATGATCTAGCTTTTGAATCTCACCTCCCCTCAAAGGAAAACTGCACTAAGGAAATACAGGCAAGCCAAATACATGGAGACCAGGCAACCACAAAATCAACAAAGATCACCAACATCATAAAGAAACAGACAAACCCAAAGGGAGGGCTTGTGTCACTAAGCCCTCCTAGTGATAATGTAATAAATTCATATGTCTATAGATAAAGGAGGCTTTGTTATATGGCAAATGGCTAAGAAAGCCCCAGCCTTCTATAGTATTTTTCAAAGATCTCTAACAAAGTAAAATAGCAAGAAGAGGGTGTTTAACAATTTTACAATTTGAGTTAACCATTGGAGAAACTAAAATTATTTGATATTTTTATTGTGGTGAGTTGAAATTCATTTGTTATTTTAAAAGAGAATTATTTTTATTAACTGGTTACTTTTCTTGGCCAGCTAACCTGACCAAGGACAGTCTAATTCATAACAAGAGGAATATAATCCCTATTCTACAAGCCACATCCATAACCCCATAGTTCCCTATATTATATTGCCAGTTTTTGAGACTGAGCATTCATTTCCTGCTAAGTCTCAGACCACTCTGAGAAAAGCTGCCAAACATTTGCCAGCCCTGCTCACTACTATCCCACCTTCCATACAAAATTCTTTTTCTTAGGCTCAGAGAAGCAAGGCTATTAATGAATGAGTGAAGGGAGTTTTTCAGATCATCTAGTGATGAAGTTATGGCACACTCTGGTTTGTGCAGGTTGATATGGTTTGGCCACATCCCCACCCAAATCTCAACTTGAATTGTATCTCCCAGAATTCCCACGTGTTGTGGGAGGGACCTAGGGGGAGGTAATTGAATCCTGGGGTCCAGTCTTTCCCATGCTATTCTGATGATAGTAAGTCTCATGAGATCTAATGGGTTTATCAGGGGTTTCCGCTTTTGCTTCCTCCTCATTTTCTCTTGCTGCTGCCATGTAAGAAGTGCTTTCCACCTCTTGCCATGATTCTGAGACCTCCCCAGTCACATGGAAGTGTAAGTCCAATTAAACCTCTTTTTTTTTCCAGTCTCAGGTATATCTTTATCAGCAGCATGAAAACGGACTAATACAGTAAATTGGTACCAGTAGAGTGGGGCACTGCAGAAAAGATACCCAAAAACGTGGAATTAACTTTGGAACTGGGTAACAGGCAGAGACTGGAAGAGTTTGGAGGGCTCAGAAGAAGACAGGAAGATGTGGGAAAGTTTAGAACTTCCTAGAGACTTGTTGAATGGCTTTGTCCAAAATGCTGATAGCAATATGGACAATAAAATCCAGGCTGAGGTGGTCTCAGATGGAGATGAGGAACTGGTTGGCAACTGGAGCAAAGGAGACTCTTGTCATGTTTTATTAAAGAGACTGATGGCATTTTGCCCCTGCCCTAGAGATTTGTGGAACTTTAAACTTGAGAGACATGGTTTAGGGTATTTGGTGGAAGAAATTTCCAAGCAGCAAAACATTCAAGAGGTGACTTAGGTGTTGTTAAAAGGCATTCAGTTTTATAAGGCAAGCAGAGCATAAAAGTTCGGAAAATTTGCTGCCTGACAATGTGATAGAAAAGAAAAAACCAATTTTCAGGGGACAAATTCAAGTCAGCTGCAGAAATTTGCATAAGTAGCAAGGAGCCTAATGTTAATTCCCAAGACCATGGGGAAAATGTCTCCAGGCCATGTCAGAGAACTTCTCAGCAGCCCCTCCCATTGCAGGCCCAGAGGCTCAGGAGGAAAACGTGATTTTTGTGGGCTGGGACCAGGGTCCCCGTGCTGTGTGCAGCCTAGGGACTTGGTGCCCTGTGTCCCAGCCACTCCACCTGTGGCTGAAAGAGGACAACATAGAGCTCAGGCTGTGGCTACAGAGGGTGGAAGTCTCAAGCCTTGACAGCTTCCATGTGGTGTTGAGCCTGCAGTTGCACAGAAGTGAAGAATTGAGTTTTGGAGAGGCCAGGGGTGGAATGATATGATTTGGCTGTGTCCCCATCCAAATCTCAACTTGAATTCTATCTCCTAGAATTCCTGCTGTTGTGGAAGGGACCCAGAAGGAGGTAATTGAATCATGGGGGCTGGTCTTTCTTGTGCTATTCTTGTGATATGAATAAGTCTCATGAGATCCGATGGGTTTATCGCAGCTTTCTACTTTTGTTTCTTCCTCATTTTCTCTTGCTGCCACCATGTAAGAAGTGCCTTCTGCCTCCCTCCATGATTCTGAGGCCTCCCCAGCCATGTGGAAGTGTAAGTCCAATTAAACCTCTTTTTCTTCCCAGTCTTGGGTATGTCTTTATTGGCAGCAAGAAAATGGACTAATACAAAGGTAAAAAAGATTAAAGAAGATACAGAGAGTAAGAGAATCATGGTGGGGCCCCAGAAGACATAAAATAGCTGGTTCAGTGAATGGTCTCTGGCCTTCACAAAGACCAAAACTGTACCTGGCTACCTATTCTAAGTCCTGAAACACACACAAGTCATCTGTCCACAACAAAACTAAGTCTCTAACCAACACAAACTTTTGTTTTACTTCTCCTTAAAATCTCTTTTCATTAAAAAGACCTGGAATCTGGAAAACATTACACTAGGTGAAATAAGCCAGACACAGAAAGGAAAATACTGCATGAGCTTACTTTTATGTGGAGTCTAAAACAAGTCAAACACGTAGAAACAGAGAGAAGAATGGTGGTTTTCAGGAGCAGGAAGGAGGAGGAAATGGAAAGTAGTAGGTCAAGGGGTAGAAAACTGCACTTTTATAGGATAAATTAATCTAGAGATCTAATGTACAGCGTGAGAACTGTAGTTGATAACATTGTATTGCATATAAAAATTTGTTGAGGGTAGATTTTAGGTGCTCTCACCACACACACACACACACGCACACACACACGCGCATGCACTCACTCACACCAGTAATCATGGTAGGTCATAGATAGTTTAATTTGCTGGAATGTTGTGGCCACTTCATTATGTATACATACATCAAAACACCATGTTGCACACCTTAAATATATATGATACACATTTTATTGGACCATTTCATAGAATTCTTTTTTACTGCCATATTGAGAAATGGGATAAAATCCCCTCAAACTAAATATATAAAGCAGAGTATTAAATGTGCAATAATCAGAGGATAATTATAGTCAAATGAAAACACTGTTAAAAATTTTTCTTCAAAAAGATTTAAAAAGCATTTAACTTTAGTCAACAGTGAAGGATACAGAGACCCTAGGACCATTATTTTTGCCCTACCTGTTGTCATCTTTGGCATGGTGAGCAGGTATACTACAAAAGTGGTGTTGCAACATCAAAACATTGCATTTTATATATTGCTTAGAGAAGAGTCTGTCTTTACAATTTATTGGCCTGAGGAGATCCCACCTCCCACTCAGCAAAATACAGTGAAAGAGAGACTCTACCCTACTAGACAATCAGCTTTCCTGCATCTTATACTTTTATCCCATTTGATCAGTTTTGGTGAAACCAAATTTAAGACTCATGTTTGAGTACAGAATTTCAGAATTTAGAGGAAGGTGATTCTTGTTTACCTTCCACTTTAAAAAATGCTTTGGATACTTGATCTGTAAGCATTGGGAAGTGACATTTCACCTAAGTGAAAGGGTGTTTTGCCTGTCATTAAAATGTCTCCATTGTAAACTGTATTGCCTGTAATCTGTATCATTTTTGGCCTATGCTTTGGTTTCTGTTAGCTTCTATTTTGCAAACAATATACATTACTCTAACTTGAACAGAAAAGAAATAGTAGCTCATAGAATCTCTGGCAAGATTAGAGAATCTTTTTTTTTTTTTTTTTTTTTGAAGTGGGCAGTGATTAAAGTGGCCAGTCAATCATAACTATGGCAAAAATGATGACAGAGGAACAATCTGGTGAGGCTGGTATGGCTGCGGCAGCGGGACACTGGATGGCACCCCTTGTTTTAGAGATGATCCCCATGATCACCACCACCATAGAACAGTGAGATCATGTGCCTGTGCTCTACCAGGGTCAGGGAAGACAGATGTCTAGACTTTATAGATTCTGAGACCATGAAGAATCACACAGCAGAACATTCCACAAACATAGAAAGGGTGTTCAAATGCTGTACAGACAAAAATACACCAGCAAACAGTTATATAGTCTCTTTTTTTCTGCCTGCCCAATATCTGTACATATTAATCTTCCAATAAACTTCCAAAAAACACATCCCCAGTGGAAGTTTTGTAATTTTCACATTTAGCAAACAGGACTACACTCATCATTTCTCTAAACAGACAGGAAAAAAATGCATTAGAGTATTATTTAGAGAAGTGGTTCGCAAAGTGAGATCCCCAGACAACAGCGTCAATATTACCTGGCAACTTGTTAGAAGTGCAGTCTCAGGGCAATTCTAGAGCTATTGAATCAGAAACTTTTCTTCAAGAATGAAGATAACTATTACTTTTAGAGTTGCTTTTATACGATGGGAAAAAATCGACCCAAAGTCTTGTGGTTATTGCATCCAGCTGCAAATCTAGCTTTCTAGTTGATGCTCATTCTTCTTGTAGTTCTGTCATGATTCCAACTCAGTTGTCTCATCCTATGAACAAAACTGAAAAGCTAACTGCTACTTTCACATCCCGTTTACCTCTATATGCAATAGGAGGCTGGGTTCAGTGACTCGTGCCTGTAATTCCAGCTATTTGAGAGGCTGAGGCAGGAGGATTGCTTGAGCCCAGGAGTTGGAGACTGCAGTGAGTCATGATCATGTGACTGCACTCCGGCCTGGGCAACAAATGAGACCCTGTCTCTTAAAACTAAAAATTTAGCCAAGATGGTGGCTCATACCTGTAGTCCCAGCTACTTTGGAGGCTGAGGCTTGAGCCAAGGAGTTTGAGTCCAGCCTAGGCAACAGAGTGAGATGCCATCTCCATTAAAAAAAAAAAAATAAAAAATATATATGTAATAGGGAGAGAGAAAAGAAATTTAAGATAAACTGTAAGAATATATACATGTTACAGTAAGAAATGAGACACATGAGATTAAAATTTTTGTTTCAGCATTTCATTATAAAGTCACTTATAACTTCCTTCCACCACTTTTCTCCCATATTCCCTTTGCTTTCAGCAAGTATCTCAGCTATTCAGAATTATTTACCTTCATTTCTAAGGGACCTGAACCCTTGCTGTACCCTCTAGTTTAGTAATCTCAGTGAACCTTTTGCACTGAATGTAGGTTTGAGGAGGTGATTTAGATTATTATCTCAGTTTAATGGTAACTCTTATCTTCTTATGACAAGAATCTCAATTCTTTCTTACCACAAGAATTTTCCACTCCAGCCAACGGTAAATTCATCTTCTGCCTACAGTGTTGTGTTCTGTTCAGTGGCATGAGAGGCTTAAGATAGCCAGGTTGGAGCCATATCTATGTAACTATTATTTCCCCTGACAGAAACATTTGCTCTGTAGGGACTGGAACCTCTAAATCATCAGAGTCCAGAATTGTGGGGACTACAGTGGATCTTCAAATGTAATCATGAGAAGAACTACCTTTTCTCTATGCTTGGTTTCCTGAGATATATTTTCTGGTTGTGGGAGAAATGGCACTACATGTGTATTAGTTGCGGCTCAGCTCAACTGAGCTGAGTTTGAAGTCCTTCAGGACAGCACTTCAAACTCACAAAATGTTGTCTAGAAAATGCTACTGTAGGCTGAACGCAGTGGCTTATGCCTGTAATCCCAGCACTTTGGGAGGCAGGGGCAGGTGGATCACGAGGTCAGGAGTTAAAGACCAGCCTGGCCAAGATGGTGAAACCCCATCTCTGTTAAAAATGCAAAAATTAGCTGGGTGTGCTGGCGGGCACCTGTAATTCCAGCTACATGGGAGGCTGAGGCGGGAGAATCGCTTGAACACAGGAGGCAGAGGTTGCAGAGAGCCGAGATTGCGCCATTGCACTCCAGACTGGGCGACAGAGCGAGACTCTGTATTTGTTTTTTTTTTTTGAATTAGAAAATGCTACTGTGTCTGAGTCATCAAAAAGCATTCCACTGTTCTATAAGGTTAGATTTTTGTGAATCAAGAAGTACATACACAGACCAATGATGATCAATTAACTAAGACTACTTCCAGGTACCTGAGCTAGCACCTTGAACATACAATGTCTGGTAAACACATTACACTGGTAAATTCACCCTAATCTAAAATTTTCTTTTTTGTCATTTATCACCAGAATCTATAATCCATGCATTTGCAAGATAGTGGCCAATATGAAATGCTAAAATCTGTAATTCTTGCAATGTGTAAGCATTGTTTATGATATGCTATGGAAAAAGCCTTTTTGGGTTTGATTCCATTTTAACCTGGTTACTATTTGGGAGACAATGAGTTATGAAGACTATGGATATTTTCTTTAAAAGTAGGAAAATTCCTTTGAGTGAGAGTCTAGGAGGCTCATTTTCCTCAGGGAAAGGAAGGGCCACACAGGCTGGAAAGCTGGACTCTAAATCCTCTAAGTACCTCTGTATATTCACATTCCAGTGTTTGGTATCTTGCTCTTTTAAAATCAGTGCTCAGACTTTCAGTTAAGAGATTCCAGGCTGGGCGTGGTGTCTCACGCCTGTAATCCCAGCACTTTAGGAGGCCGAGGTGGGCGGATCACAAGGTCAGGAGTTTGAGACCATCCTGGCTAACACAGTGAAATCCCGTCTCTACTAAAAATACCGAAAAAAAAAAAAAATAGCCGGGCGTGGTGGCCTGTGCCTGTAGTCCCAGCTACTTGGGAGGCTGAGGCAGAAGAATGGCATGAACCCAGGAGGCGGAGCGTGCAGTGAGCGGAGATGGCACCACTGCACTCCAGCCTGGGAGACAGAGTGAGATACCGTCTCAAAAAAAAAAAAAAAAAAAAAAAAAGATAAAAGAGATTCCAAAACCCGGATTCAACCGACCTTGCAGTTTGTCAAGTGACAGAAACAAACTTGGCATTTGTTTATAACAACCTTAGCCTTTCACTTGCAGGAAATAAGAATTTGTGTGAGGGAAAAGGAGGATATCAGTCTCAAAGTTTTAGAATGTTACTGAATGATAATTAAGAAACTTGAGTCTATTTATATACATCTTTGAGATACCCTTTGCTGTTAGAGGCAGCTACCCTCAATTATCATGCTTTGAATTTCTCTAGTCTTTCGTGCTGTCTGTCCTAAGTCAACAAATATCTTACCCATATGATTTAAGAAATGAACGAATATTATTGTACTGAATGTAGACAAGAAATAGATGTATATTATTGCAATATACATGTAGACAAGAAATGGATGTGTATTATTGTAAAGTGCTTATACTACACATGAAGTGGTATAATATCACCCATAGGTAAACTGATAATTTAAAGATACATACCCTAAAGCAGTCACTAAAATAACAAAGCATACAGCGAACAAGCAAAAAAGTAGATAAAATTTAATCATAAAATATTCAATCCAAAAGAAGAAAAAGAGGAAAAGAATACTTGTAACAAACAGAAAACAAATAGCTGTCCTTTCCATGGTCAGCACAAAAAAACAAAACAAACAAACAAACAAAAAACACATAAAAAAAGAAAGAAAAAAGAAAACAAATAGTAAGATGATAAAATTAAACTTTACCGTACCAATAATCATATTAAAGGTATATGATGTAAACATTCCAATAAAAAGCCAGGTTAAGAAGAACAAGATACAAAAGACACAGTTATATATGCCATATAAGAAATGAACTTTAACTATAAAAACAAATTGGTTAAAAGGAAAATAACAGAAAAAAAGATGTAACTTGATAACACTAGTGAAAAAAGCAAGAGTAGCTATTAATACATTAGAGGAAGTATATTTAAGAGCAAAGAATATTAGCAGTGATAAAATTAGGTCATTTTAGAATCATAAAGTGATCAACTCATCGAGAGGACATAATGATCCTAAACATTTATGCACCTATGAACAAGCTTTCAATATACATAAAGCAGACACTGATAGAACTGCAAGAAGAATCGAACACGTTCCTAATTATAATGGATTTTTAAATTTCTCTGTCAACAGTTGATAGAAAAAGTAGACATAAAATCAATAGAAACATATAAGATGGTGCAACACTGTCAACCAACAACAGCAGATTGTGCATTTTTTTTCAACATTACAGAAAACATTTAACAGGATAGTTCATATTCTGGGACATAAAACTAACCAAGTTTGAAATGGTTCAAATTACACAAAATACATTTTCTGAGCACAATGGAATTAAATTAGAAATCAGTAACAGAAAGATATCTGAAAAATTCTCAATTATTTGGAAACCAAATAACATATTTTAAATAACCTATGACTCAGAGAGGATATCTAAAGAGAAATCAGGAAGTGTTTTAAAGTGAAAACACAACATACAAAAATGTATGTAATGCAAGTAAAGCAGTACTTGAAAGGGAAATTTTTAGCACTAAAAGCCTACATATTAGAAAAGAAAAAAAAATCAATAACTTCATATTTTATCATAAGAACTAGAAAAAGAATAGAAATTCAACCTAAAGTATGCAGAATCACAGAAGTAATAATCTTAGCAAAATTCAGTGATACAGAAAACAAAAACAATTGAGATCAATAAACCCAAAACCTATTGGTCTTTGAGAAGATCAATAAACTCGATAAACCATTAGTAAAACTGATAAGGAAATGAAGAGAAGATACAAATTACCAATATCAGGAATAAAAAAGGTGATATGGCTGTAGATTTTATAGATATTAAAAGAATGGTAAGAAAATACTTTGAAGAACTTTATGCCAATAAACCAGATGATTTAAGTAAAATGGAAAAAAATTCTAGACAATAATTACAGGCAAAGACCTATAGAAACACACTCGTAATTAATTAGATTTGCTACAACTTTCTTTTTTCCTTTTTTTTTTGAGACGGAGTCTTGCTCTGTCACCCAGGCTGGAGTGCAATAGCATGATCTCGGCTCACTGTAACCTCCTCCTCCTAGGTTCAAGTATTCTCTTGCCTCAGCCTTCCTAGTAGCTGGGATTACAGGTGCCCACAACCACACTGGGCTAATTTTTGTATTTTTAGTAGAGACGGGGTTTCATCATGTTGGCCAGGCTGGTCTCGAACTCCTGACCTTAAGTTGTCCTCCCACCTCGGCCTCCTAAAGTGCTGGAACTACTGGTATGAGCCACCATGCCTGGCCTGCTACAAGGAGAACACATACCAAGAGAAACCAATGGGTGTCTCAGTAATAGGATGTTAAAAGGAACCTATTATAGGACTTACCCTTTGGTTGGGAGATGAGTGAATGTCTAAGAAAGAAGGGGTTTGCTCTAATTGGATGCTGTCAGAAAACAGGCAGATGGTCCAGCCATTTCATTCCTAGGTATTACTCAAGAGAAACAAAAGCATATGTCCATATAAAGACTTGTGTATGAATGTTCACAGAAGCTTTTTAAAAATTATACCCTCACGCCGGGCTTGGTGGCTCATGTCACCTAACACTTTGAGAGGCCGAGGAGGGTGGATAACCTGAGGCCGGGGATTTGAGACCAGTCTGGCCAACATGATGAAACCCTGTCTCCATTAAAAATACAAAAATTAGCCTGGTGGGGTGGTGCATACCTGTAATCCCAGCTACTTGGGAGCCTGAGGCAGGAGAATTGCTTGAACCTGGGAGGCAGAGGTTGCAGTGAGCCGAGATCATGCCACTGCACTCCAGCCTGGGTGACAGAGTGAGACTTCATCTCAAAACAAACAAACAAACAAACAAACAATTACCCCCTCAAACGGGAAACAACAAAGATTTCCATTAACAAGTACTATAAAAGGTTAAACAAACTGATATAGTCAAGCAATCAAACACTATTTTGCAATAAAAATGTATGCACATAACAAGGACAAATCTCATGACAAATATTGAGTGAAAGAAGCCAGGCAAAAACAACAAATGTATACTCTATGACGCATTTATATAACAATCTAGACAATGCAAACTTATCTATAGTGACAGAAAGCAGATCAGTAGTTGCTTGGAGAGGAGCAGCAGGGAAGGTCAGGAGGGTGGGATTACAAAGTGGCATAAGGAGGCCGAGGGCAGTAGCTCAGGCCTGTAATCCCAGCATTGTGGATGGCTGAGGCAGGAGGATTACTTGCACCCAGGAGTTTGAGAACAGCCTGGGCAACATGACAAGATCCCATCTTAAACAAAACAGAAAGTGGCACAAGGAAATTTTTAGGTGATTGATGTTTATTATCTTGATTATGGTGGTGGTCTTACACACGTATATTTATATATGTCAAAACTTCTCAAATTGTGCAGTTTTAAATATGTGGAGTTTATTGCAGGTCACCTATACCTCAACAAAGCTACCTAGAAAGAAGGAAAGGAGGTAATTGACTTTTTTAAGCTTCATGCAGAGTCAGTTGGATCAGAAGAAAATATACTCATCCAACATCCTCCTTCTTCCTCTATGGGCACTGATTGTAATATCTCTATTAGCGTACAGATATTTTAAAAATTTATATAAATATTTTTGATTGACAAACCATAATTGTATACATTTATAGGCTACAATGTGAGATATATATATATATATATATAAGGTGGCATGATTAAATCAAGCTAATGAACATATCCATCATCTCACTTACCCATCATTTTTTATGGTGAGACGTGAAATTTACCATTATTTTGAAGTATGTAGTACATTATTATTGACTACAGTCACTCTGCTGTGCAATAGATCTCAAAACCTGTTCCTCCCATATCTGAAACTTTGTACCCTTTGATCAACAGGCTCCCACTCCCTTCCTCCCCTTCTCCCAACCCAGCCTCTGGTAACCATCCTTCTACTTTCTACTTAGAGCACACACTTGTATTTTAGTGGAATGGATGTGAGGCTAAGTAACCTGAAAGTTTAGTTGGAAGTCAAGGTTTCTTTATGAGCCACTTTTTTCCCATTGGGAAGATAGGTAAAACAACATTTTCTTCCACGTATACGTAGGCAATATTATGACTCACTATTATGTTTAAAGACTAAATTACAAGTTTGAGTTCATGGAATTCAAGCAGAAAAATTCGGAGAAGTTTTCTTTTTCTTTTTTTTTTTCCTGGACTAGGCGCTGATTTTCTTCCAGCCTCTCTACCCAGAAATCTTGATTCCTACTCAGTACAAATATCCAGAAACTTCTTACCTTCCTACACAGAAAAGCCACTTCTTTAATCATATTTTCTCTAGATAATGGTATTTACAGGCGCCACTTGGATTGGCTGAGAACACTTTGCTTTGCTTTACTCAGAAGGTAGACTTTATTCTTTCCCCCCTCCCGCCTTTTGTGTTATATCCTGTCAATCCTTGAAGGGGCAAACTATCCCGCTCCCTCACCCTGTGTTTCCTCCACCCTCAGCTTCACTCAGACCCACGGTATCAACACTCAATGGGTGAACTGCTGTCGATGAAACATATTGCCATCATTGTAGTTGACTTTATTCTTAATAATAATCGGAGCAAACTGACCTTAAATGTCACGTAGGTCAAGTTGTACACAAATGCCTATCACGGATCTGTAGATGGGTATTGTCAAGTTCATTTTTGTATGCTTTCTACTTCTGTTCTAACTTTGACATACATTTGTGGTTTCCAAAAGGGAGGTAAAGACAATTTTACACTTTATAGTTTTTAACTTACAAGATGTCTGTAAAGACCTCACATTAGAATCACCTGGGACCTTTAAAAATGTCAATGATTGGCTGGGCGCGATGGCTCACGCCTGTAATCGCAGCACTTTGGGAGGCCAAGGCAGGCGGATCATGAGGTCAGGAGATCGAGACCATCCTGGCTAACACGGTAAAACCCCGTCTCTACTAAAAATACAAAAAAATTAGTTGGGCGTGGTGGCGGGTGCCTGTAGTCCCAGCTACTCGGGAGGCTGAGGCAGGAGAATGGCGTCAACCCAGGAGGCAGAGCTTGCAGTGAGCCAAGATCGTGCCAGTGCCCTTCAGCCTGGGCAGCAGTGGGAGAATCCATCTCAAAAAAAAAAAAAAAAAAAGCCAATGATTGAAGCCTAATACTGAAGATTCTGATTTATTAATAATTAGTCTGTGCTGGGTGTTAATTGAGCTCCCCAAGTGATTACGCATGTAGGACTTCAAACCACTAATTTAGAATCTTGTGACTCAAAATTTGGGCAAAAATGAGCAGCATCAGTATCACCTGGGAGCAGCTTCAGGCCTCACTTTAGATTTACTCTAAATCTAAATATTTTATTTTTATTAAAAAAAATTAAGAACAGATTACAAGCTTCAACTACATCTAAATTCTCTGGATTTACTTTAAAAGAATCTACATTTTGACACAATACCAAAGTGAACTAAATTCGCTTTTTTTTTTTTTTTTTTTGAGACAGAGTCTTGCTCTGTTGCCCAGGCTGGAGTGCAGTGGTTCAATCTTGGCTCACTGCAACTTCCATCTCTTCAGTTTAAGCGATTATCCTGCCTCGGCCTACAAAGTAGCTGGGATTACAGGCGCATGCCATCATGCCCGGCTAATTTTTGTATTTTTAGTAGAGACAGGGTTTCACAATGTTGGGTCAGCTGGTCTTGAACTCCTGACCTCAAGTGAGCTGCTGGCCTCGGCCTTCCAAAGTGCTGAGATTATAGGCATGAGCCACCATGCCCAGCCTAAATTTGCTTTAATTTGGAGAAGTACTGGTCTAGAAAACACAAATTCCAAGGAGACTCAAGTTCTTAAAATAAGCTGATTTCTTGAGTACAAGTTCTTCAAATGCATTCTTCAAGATTAATTTTTTTTTACTTTTTAAATTGACAAAAATTATACATATTCATTGCTATATGGGGATGTTTCAATACATGTAGATGGTGATCAGATCAGGGTAATTAGCATATCTATCATCTCAAACATTTATTATTTCTTTGTGTCGGGAGCATTCAAACTACTCCTTGGTATTTTAAACTACATAATATAGTATTGTTAACTATAGTCATCTACAGTACTATAGAACACTAGAACTTATTACTCCTACCTAACTGTAATTTTGTATCCGTTAACAAATCTCTTACTATCCCTCCTTTCTCCCTACACTTTTCAGCCTGCAGTATTCTCTGTTCTACTTTTTACTTCTATGAGATCAACTTTTTTTTAGCTTCTGCATGAGTGAGAACACGTGGTGTTGAAATTTCTATTCCTGGCTTATTTTGCTTAACATAATATCCTCCAGTTCCATCCATGTTGCTGAGAATGACAGGATTTTATTTATTCTTTTTTTATGGCTAAATAGCCTTCCTTGGTGTATATATACCACATTTTTAAAATCCATTCATCTGTTATTGGAAACCTAGGTTGATTCCATATCTTGGCTATTGTGAACACTGTTGCAATAAACATGGGGATGCCGATGTCTCTCCAATATAATGCTTTTCTTTCCTTTGGATAAATTCCCAGTAGTGGGATTGCTTGAGGGATTTCAATACTGTTCTCCATACTGGCTGCACTAATTTACATTCCTACCAACAGTGTATAAGAGTTCCTTTTTCCCCAGCTACTCACGAGGCTGAGGCAGGAGAACTATTTGAACTCTAGAAGCAGAGGGAGCCAGGTTACACCACCACTGCCCTCCAGCCTGGACGGAGAATGAGACTGTCAAAAAAAAAAGTCCCTTTTCTTCACATCTTTGCCAGCGTTTATTTTTGTCTCTTCTATAATAGCCATCCTAACTGGGATGAGATGATGCCTCATTGTGGCTTTGATTAGCATTTCCCTGCTGATTAGTGGTGTTGAACATTTTTTCATAAATTTGTTGGTCATTTGTATGTCTTCTTTTGAGAAATGTCTGTTCAGAGCATTTGCTTATATTTAATTAGATTGTTGGGTTTCTTTGCTGTTGATATGTTTGAATTCCTTGTATATTCTTGATATTAATTTCCTGCCAGATGAGTAGTTTATATTTTCTCCCATTCTGTAGGTTGTCTTTTCACTCACTTCATTATTTCCTTTGCTGTGCAGAAGCCTTTTAGCTTGATGTGATCCCATTTGTTTACTTTTCTTTTGTTGCCTGTGCTTTTGATGCCTTATTCATAAAATCTTTTCCCAGAGCAATGTCCTGAAGGATCTCCCCTATGTTTTCTTCTAGTAGCTTTACCATTTTGGGTCTTATATTTGGTTATTTGAGATACTTTGAGTTGATTTTTGTATAGGGTGAGAGGCAGGGGTCTAGTTTCATCCTTCTGCATTTGGATATCCAGTTTTCCAAGCACCATTTATTGAAGAGACTATCCTTTCCCCAATGAGTGTTCTTGGCATCTTTGTAAAAAATCAATTGGCTGAGATATGTGGATTTTCTGTGTTCTTTATTCTATTCCATAGGTCTATGTGTCTGTTTTTATGCCAGTACCATGATGTTTTGGTTACTACAGCTTTGTAGTATATTCTGAGGTCTGGTAGCATGATACATCCAGCTTTGTTCTTTTTGCTTAGGATTGCTTTGGCTATTCAGGATACTTTTGTTTCCATACAATCTCTTTGGATTTTTTTTTAATTTTGTGAAGAATATTCATTGGTATTTTGATAGAGATTGCATTGAATCTGTAGGTTGCTTTTGAGTGTACTGTCACTTTAACAACATTAGTATTTCTGATCCATGAGCATGAATGTCATCTACAGTGCTATAGAACACTGGAACTTATTACTCCTACCTAGCTGTAATTTTGTATCCATTAACAAATCTCTTACTATCCCTCCTTTCTCCCTACCCTTTTCAGCCTGCAGTATCCTCTGTTCTACTTTCTACTTTTTACTTTTCATTTATTTGTATCTTCTTCAATTTCTTTCATCAGTGTTTTGTAGTTTTCATTTTACCTCCTTGGTTACATTTATGTCTAGGTGTTTTTTTTGGTAACTATTGTAAATAGGTTTGCCATCTTGATTTCTTTTTCAGCTAGTTTGTTGTTCATATATATAAATGCCACCAATTTTTGTGTATTAGTTTTGTGTCTTGCAACTTCACTGAATTTGTTTGTTCTAAAAGTTTTCTGGTAGAGTCTTCAGGTTTTCCTATATATAAGATCATGTCAACTGCAAACAGGAACAATTTGACATCCTCCTTTCCAATCTGAATGCCCTTTATTTCTTTCTCTTGTCTAATTAATCTTGATAGGACTTCACATTTATATACTTTGAATATTTAAAATGTTTACATAGATGTCAGAATCAACTTTCATTTTTCATAGAAAAAGAAGACCCTGCTTGTTTTGTAGTTTTAATATCAATTAATTATTATTATCTGAGACAAATTATTTAACAAATTAAACCATCTATTAAAATATATTATCACAAATAAATTCCATAAGGAAAATATCTACAACTGTTTTTATGAAAGAAAAAAAGGCTTCTCTAAAGTTGCTTAGGCCTGGTGCTATGGCACACACCCATAAATCCAAGCACTTTGGGAGGCCATGGCAGGAGGATCCTTTGAGCCCAGTAGTTTGAGACCAGCTTGGACAACAAAGTGAGACCTCATCTCTACAAAAAAGAAAAAAGAAATTAGCTGGCTATGGTGGCGCATGCCTGTGGTCCTAGCTATTCAGGCGGCTGAGGAAGGAGGATCACTTGAGCCAGGGAGGTGGAGGTGTTACTGAACCATATTCATGCCACTCCACTCCAGCCTGGGTAACAGAGCTAGACCTTGTCTCAAAAAATTAAATTAGTTAAATTAAACATAAAGTTGCATTGTATTTAAAAAATTGGGAAAGCAGAAAATGCATCTTTTTTTTTTCTTTTGAGTTGAACAATGAGAACACATGGACACAGGGAGGGGAACATCACACACCGGGGCCTGTCAGGGGGTGGGGGGCTGGGGGGCTGGGGGAGTGATAGCATTAGGAGAAATGCCTAGTGTAGATGATGGGTTGATGGGTGCAGTAAACCACCATGGCACGTGTATACCTATGTAACAAACCTCCATGTTCTGTATATGTATCTCAGAACTTAAAATGTAATGATAATAATAATAAAAACGACAAAAAAAGGAAATGTTTCTTGTTAGAACAGATTACATACCCTCATTGCTTTTTATAATAGCCTATAATAACAGAATATCCACAAGGTGGCAGTAATATGTCAGTTTCATCCTCTGAAATTAAAACTTTTGCCTATTCAATAATACAATGGATCTTTCTGAACTCACTCTAACACATAGAATTCAGCAGTTTGACTTAATAATTAGCCTTTAAATTTATAGTCTTGCATTATCAATTTAGTGGTTTGAATTAGTTTGTATTTTAATATATTTAAATGAACTGGTCTTATGCAAATTGACTAATTTGACATGTTTTTTATTTTGTATTCTATTTTCAGAAGTTTAGCTTTAAAAAAGTTTCTAAACTTCGATATCTGGTGAGTGTTAATGTTTTTATCTTATTAAAAGGTGACAGACCACACAATATTCAACTGATTTTTTTTTAACAAGGATGCAAAAACAGTTTAAAGGAAGGATACCTTTTTCAACAAATGGTGCTAGAGCAATTGGACATTCATAGATACAAAAACTAAGATTGACCTAAATTTATACTTTATATAAAATTTAGCTCACATAAATCACAGGCTTAAATGTAAAATGTAGTATTATAAAACTTTAAGTCATGTATGGTAGCTCGTGCCTGTAATCTCAGCTACTACTCAAGTGGCTGAGGCAGAAGGATCACTTCAGTCCAGTAGTTCGTGGCTGCAGTGAGCAATGATGGCACCACTGCACTACAGCTTGGGCGAAACCTCGTGTCAAAAATAATAAATAAATAAATAAATAAATTCATTCATTCATTAAACTTTTAAAAATAGAAGAAAACTCTTTAGACCTTGGGCTAGGCAAAGAATTTTTAGGCTCGATATCAAAAACAAAATCTACAAAAGGAAAAAGTGATAAAACTGGACTTCATTAAAATAAATAAACACCTTTTTTTTTTTTTAACTTAGAAAGATCCTGTAAAGAGGTTGAAAACATGAATTACAGACTGGGAGAAATAATTTGCATACTATATATCTGACAAAGAGCTTACATCTAGCATATGTAAAGAATTCTCAAAACTCAATAGTAATAAATAAGGTATCCAATTAGAAAATAGGCATATGTGACCTCTCTGTCTTATAACTTAAACCTCATGTGACTACAATTATTTCAAATGAAATAAACAAAACAGTAATGCCTGTTTCTAGTGTATAAAATAATCAGAGAACATAGAATTTTACAAAGTTAAATTATTGGACCATTTACTTAATTTAAATATTTTTAAATGCATGTACCCATTTTGCTTGAAGGTGTGTGCAAGTATGCTTGTATTTTTTTAAACGATAATATGGTCACATGAGCATATACTTTATTTTTTAAGAGTTTATAGTTACCCAACACAAGTTCTTATTGATTCCCTCATTCTTAACACCTGCACAGTATTTCATTTTATAATTAATGGATTGTAGGTTTATTCTTTTAAAATCACTTGTGTTGTTCTCATGTTTTTTTTTTTTTCACTAAAAAGTGTTGCAATGCACAAAACTACAAATATAAAGAGGGTCTTCTCTGGATCTCTGTTGAAAAACTTTGAATAAAAATTACAAGTTCAAATCACACGTAAAATAAACATTTTAATTCATAGGGCTTTTATGCAAGATGCTAGTAGCAGCAGCACAGTTTTATTAATATCCCTGAATCTCTCACAAAAATTGACTGAGCAACTGGGATAACAAGGTATTAACTATGACAAAACAATGTAACAGGGTGTCATCATGAACCTTTTGTGAGGTTAAACCACAGAGACCCAGGGGAATCACCAACTGTTTTGGAAGAAGGAAAGGAAAGGAAAAAAATCTTTAATGGCCCTGGGAACTGGAAAAACTAGAAATACAATTGCTAACATCTATGTTCCTAAATTCAGAGATTCCTACTAGGCAAAAAGAACTTAGCAGATTAATCTGAGAACAGCAGCTGAGGCTGGCAGAAGGCTTCCTGGGCCTCAACTCACAGCTGAGAGTGAGGATGGCAAAAAGCAGTGCTGTGAGTGGTCTGTATCCTATGAACCCTACAAATTAACCACCCCCAAAACAAAGCCCTGTCCTAAGGAGAAACTGCAGGAAGTCAATTATAAATTGAGTTGGGAAGGACACTGAGGCTCAAGAAAAGAGAAGCTCCAGGTTAAGATGCAAGAGAAGAAGGGAAAAGGCAGTTTTCTGCAAGTTCAAGCACAAATAATTTCTTTACCTTCTAGTTCTGGAAATACCAGGTGCCGTCTATGTAAAGCAGGAATTTTGGTTGAATATTATATAATTTTCTGACCCACTGTTACTAATCCAGTCTCCCCTGTACTCAGATCTTCCATGCTGCAGACAGACTGACAGATGCTCAGCAAATAGTAGCTAATATTTTCTAGGAAACTAGGTGCTAAACGAGCTTTCTTAAATTTCTACCTCCAGGTCTGTAAGTTGATTTGAACCATTACCAGTTCCTGGTTCTGCACAGGTTGTTGAAGGCAGGACTTCTCTCCTTCAGTGGAAACTCCACCTGCTCACAATCAACCATCCTTTCCTGCAGCCTTGAGACACTACTCAGTGCAGCACCCCTCCCAGTCTAGAATAAGCACACTCATCATCAATCTCTCTCATTTTCTGTCTTATCTCCATTCCATCTACATACATTTTTTGTTTGTTTTTGCCAATGTTTTTAAATAAGCAACTGTACAAGCACAACAATGACAACAAAAACCTTCCTCTCCCCAGTGTCGTAGTGAGCAAGGAATATATTTAACTTCAAATAAAAGACAAAAACAAATGCTGGATAAAGCTGACAGAAAGAAATGCAACTGTAGGTGCTCTGGCAATATAGAAATGATACAACTAAGAAAAATAGAAGAAAAGGAAAAAGAAGGTATTCTGCAGAATGATTTTACTGACTGCTCGTCTGTAATGCCTGGGAGTCAAAGGATACTGTTTATAGAAATGTAGGCATACTTAATGGCATCAGGGGAAACAAAGTTAATATTATTATATCAAATTGGGAGATGAAAGATCACATAGGGAAGACAAGAAAGAGTTAATACCATTGTTCTTAGTTTAGAGACATTAGCTACTGTCTAAAGAAAGAGATGATTTTATGAAGTTACATAAGGTAGCCATCAGAATAAAAATTTAACTCTTCCAAATATCACAACATCAAAACAAAATCAATAAAAACAAACAAGGCAGCAAAAGAAGATACGTGCATATAGATCATAGCATAACATGCTGTAACCAAAATATAACCAAACAGAATTTACCAATAAAAGTAAGTGGGCTTGACTCTCTTATTAGAGGAAAAAAATATTGTCAGATTAAATCAAAAAGGAAAACTCAGTTCTATGCTGGATATAACATAAAGTGTTTCAGAAAGTTTAAAAATAAAAGTACAGGCAATGAATAAAAGGATCTTCATGCGTTACAGAGTATAAAACAGTGAGTAAACACATCATACGTTTTCTCTTTTTACACTTAAATGGCTGGAGATGTTACACCACTAGTATGAATTTACTTCAGATATGTAACGGATACACTTTTATGTGATTAGAAACAGAAATGATAACAGTTAAGGATAAAACAACATCTGCATTGACGCTAGGAAGAAAGAGCCATTGTTGGGTACATAGTGATCACATTACCATGGAGCAATCTGTTCCCAACTGAAATTTCCTTGCCCTTCTACTGAAATCGTGTACGATTCTGCAAACATAATGTTTACTTCCCACAAATCAGCCATTAGCTCTGCTATTGTTGTCCACACAGAATAAGCATCAGACCTAGATTTAGCTGTTGTATCATTAAGAGTCTTATTTGGCCCTTTCCAGAGGCTGTTATTTCTATTATATTTTGGATAATTTGTCTATTTCCAGACAAATAATTTTTCCAGAATGTGATGAGTAGATACACTTTGATCCATATGAAAAGACCCTTTGGTAGAGATCCAGGGATTGAGTTTATTTTTAATTACTATAGCATCTTGGTCAGGTTGAGAAACAGATCACCTTTATAATTCCCTGGCATGTGAGCAGGGCTAGACTTAGTGTGAAAATGCTTGAAAGTTTATAGTTTTTTAGAAATTTTATTTACTTTGTGTCTCTTTGTCAAAATAAAATTAATGCTGAAAAGCTATATTAAATGAATTTCTTTGAGATGGTCTCTTCCCCCTTCTTCTAATGAGAGGATATCCACAGATATGTCAGGAGCTTGCTTTACCTAGAAACGTGTTGAGGGCCACAGGTTTGGGTTCACCTAGGAACATTTAGGGACACCTTCCCAAGTTGTTGTTGAAGAGTGGGGTAAATGTAAGATAGAATTAGGCTCACAGAGGCCTGATGAGAGCATCATGTCACCCCAGAAACACAGCATATACCTAGGAGAACTGTTCTCAGTATCAATGTCTTAAGCACTGTAAGATTGACTATAGACCAAGACAGTAACTACATATATGTATAGTTATATATATTAACTATATATATACTTAATAAAATCAGTTAATATATACACATATATTTATTTATTTATTAACTTATTTTTATTTTTATCTTGAGACAGCGTCTTGCTCTGTCACCTAGGCTGGAGTGCAGTAGTGCAATTACGGCTCACTGCAGCCTTGACCTCTGGGGCTGAAGCTCTCTTCCTGCCTCAGCCTCCTAAAGTGCTAGGATTACAGGTGTGAGCCACCTTACCTGGCCCAGGGCAATAACTATGCAATGCTTATATAATTTGGAGCAAAAAAATATTTGAAATATGTATGCATTGCTTTTTAACCTTTTCTATTGATTTACTTTATTAAATACTGAATAGAAACAATATATTTATAAAATATTTATAATATATATATAGAATAAGCACACAATGAACACTTGTGTCTCCAGTCTTGGTTTAAGAAATTAAGCCAAAAGTAATCATAAGTGCTTATGATTACTTTTGAAGTCACCTGTACAACTTTTGCTGACTACATCCCCTTCTTCAACACTCTAATGATGGCCACTGTGAGCACTGTGTATATTGAATTGTGTTTTATTTTAATACTGTGTGCACTACATTGTTTTTCCTAGCTGCATGCTATTGCATTTAGTGAGCATAATGAATTATATCAATATAATTCACTTTTGTCATTTCATTGTTTCAGCTTTTCTGTACTAATTATTGCCAATATATTTCTACTGGCATAAAAACAGACACACAGGACAATGGAGCAGAATGGAGATCTCAGACATAAATCTACACATTTACAAACAACTCATCTCTGACAAAGGCATCAAGAACATACACTGGGCAAAGAACAGTCTTTTCAATAAATAATCCTGGGAAAACTGAATAACTAAATGAAGAAGGATAAAATTAAACCCCTCTTACCATATACAAAAATCAAATCGAATAAAAATAGATTAAAGACTTGAATCTAAGACCTGAAACTATGAAGTTACTAAAAGAAAGCATAGGAGAAATGCTCCAGGACATTGGTCCGGGCAGATTTTTTTGCGTAAGACCTCAGAAGCACAGGCAACAAAGGCAAAAATAGACAATGGGATTATATCAAGCTAAAAAGCCTCAAGCAAAGGAAATAATCAACAAAGTGAAGTGCCAACCACAGAATGGGACAAAATATTTTCAAACTATCCATCTGATAAAGGAGTAACAACTGCAATATATAAAAAGCTCAAACAACTCAATAATAATCAAAAAATCTGATTGAAAAATGGGCTACTGAAGAGGCTGAGGTAGGAGGATTTCTTAATCCCAGGAGTTTGAGGTTACAGTGAGCTATGATTAAGCCACTGCCCTTTATCTTGGGTGACACAGCAAGACCTTGCTTCTAAAAAAATTGTTAAAAATATATAAATAGATACAATTTTTTAAAAAAATGGGCAAAAGATCTGAACAGATACTTCTCAAAAGAAGACATTCAAAAGGCCAATAGGAAGATGAAAAAATGTTCAATATCACTAATCATCAAGCAAATGCAAATCAAAACCACAATGCAATATCAGCTCATGTTGGTTGAAATGGCTTGTATCAAAAAGACAGGCAATAACAGATGCTGGCAAAGATGTGGAGAAAGGGGAACACTAGTACACTGTTGGTGGGAATTTACATTAATAAAGCCACTATGGAGAACTGTATGGAGGTTCCTCAAAAAAGTAAAACTAGAGCTACCATGTGGTCCAGCAATTTCACTACTGGATATATATCCAAAATAAAGGAAATCAATGTATCAAAGACATCTCTACATGCCCATGTTTATTGCAGCACTATTCACAATAGCCAAAATATGGAATCAACATAAGTGGTCATCAACAAACGAACAGATTTTAAAAGTAATATATATACATCATGGACTACTACTCAGACACAAAGAAGAATGAAATTCTGTCATTTGCAGCAACATAAGTGGTGCTGGCCATTTCGCTTAACGTAATGAACATAGGCCATTATGTTAAATGGAATGAGCTAAGCACAGAAAGGCAAATATCGCATGTTGTCACTCATATGTGGGCGGTGAAAAAGTGGATCTCATGAAGATAGAAAGTAAATTGGTGGTTGCTAGAGGCCAGCAAGGGGAGTGGGAAGAGGAGATGAAGAAAAGCAAACATAAATGTATTTATCACCACTAAACTGGCCTCTAAAAATGTACAGATGGTAAATTATATATATATACATTTTTATCTCAATAAAAAAATTAAAAAAATTCTGTTGTGTGTTTATAGGGCATATGTACAAGACTTTCTCTAGGGTTGTATCAGTTTTCTTTTTTTTTATTATTATACTTTAAGTTTTAGGGTACATGTGCACAACGTGCAGGTTTCTTACATATGTATACATGTACCATGTTGGTGTGCTGCACCCAGTAACTCATCATTTCACATTAGGTATATCTCCTAATGCTATCCCTCCCTCCTCCCTCCATGCCACAACAGGCCCCAGCGTGTGATGTTCCCCTTCCTGTGTCCATGTGTTCTCATTGTTCAATTCCCACCTATGAGTGAGAACGTGCGGTGTTTGGTTTTTTGTCCTTGTGATAGTTTGCTGAGAATGATGGTTTCCAGTTTCATCCATGTCCCTACAAAGGACATGAATTCATCATTTTTTATGGCAGCATAGTATTCCATGGTGTATATATGCCACATTTTCTTAATCCAGTCTATCGTTATTGGACATTTGGGTTGGTTCCAAGTCTTTACTATTGTGAATAGTGCCGCAATAAACATACGTGTGCATGTGTCTTTATAGCAGCATGATTTATAATCCTTTGGGTATATACCCAGTAATGGGATGGCTGGGTCAAATGGTATTTCTAGTTCTAGATCCCTGAAGAATTGCCACACTGACTTCCACAATGGTTGTGTAAAAATGTTCCTATTTCTCCACATCCTCTCCAGCACCTGTTGTTTCCTGACTTTTTAATGATCTACTCATCTGACAAAGGGCTAATATCCAGAATCTAAAATGAACTCAAACAAATTTACGAGAAAAAAGCAAACAACCCCATTAACAAGTGGGCGAAGGATATGAACAGACACTTCTCAAAAGAAGACATGTATGCAGCCAAAAGACACATGAAAAAATGCTCATCATCACTGGCCATCAGAGAAATGCAAATCAAAACCACAATGAGATACCATCTCACACCAGTTAGAATGGGTTGTATCAGTTTTCTATTCCTGCTATAAAAATTTACTACAAACTTAGTGGCTTAAAAGAACACATTTTTGTAAGCTGTTAGCCTGTTTTAAAACACACACACAAACTTATTATCTTAGAGTTGTTCTGGTTAGAAATCTGGTATGGCTCTCATTGAACTAACATCAAGATGTTGGCAGGCTGCATTTCTTTCTGAAGGCTCTAAGAGAGAATCTGGGTTGTTGGCAGAATTCAGTTCCTTGTGGTTGTAGGATTGAGATCCTCGGTTTCTTCCTGGTTGTAAACTTTGGGTCATTCCCAGCTTCTAAAGGTCACTGGCTTTCCTTGGCTTGTGGCCCCCTTCCACTGTTTTAAAAGCCAGCAATAGCAGGCTACATCTTTCTCATACTGCCATCTGTCTGAATCTCTGCATCCAGAAAATATTCTCTGCTCTCAAGGAATTATGAGATTAGATTGGACTCACCAAGATAATTCAAGGTAATTTCCCCATTTCAATGCCCTTAATGGTAATCACATCTGCAAAGCCCCTTTTAGCATATAAGGTAGCATGTTCACCTTATCTGAAGACTGGGATGTGGCTGTCTTTGGTGGGGGGCAGATGCCTAACCCAAAGATACACAACTTGCAGATATACAACTAGTTCATGGAGATTAAACATTTTCAAATCTACAAGAAAATGTTTTCTAAAATGAGCATCTCTTGTTAGATTTTCACCAGTACTGTATCAGAATTATATTTACTTCATAATGTTGCCAATACTGACATCAGATATTTAATTTTCTTGTCAGTTCAGGATAATGTGACATTGTGAATAATATATTTGTTCATTCATTCAACAAACTTTTTTATCATATACCACCGATATGCTGGACAGTGTCATGGATCCTAAAAATATAGCTGTTATTATTATTTTTTTAAACAACGTCCCTGCTGCGATACAGCTTTTATTCTTTGGGACAGGCAGACAGTAATTGAGATACATAAATCCAAGGTCAAATTGGGGGAAAAATTGGATTGGAGAGCTCAGGATCTGGCCCCAGAGAAAGGCAGAGGGAGAGGGGACCCAGTTCAGAATCTCAGTGCGTCCACACCGAACAATTCCATGAGGGCTGAGGAGATGGAGCTGAAAGGTTTGTCTGACATCACAAGAGACAGAAACCTGAGCCCCATTTTCATCTCTCTCCTGACAATGTTCCTGGCTTGATTTCCTCCTTCCAGCAGAGACAAGAATCAGGGAGCACACCCTGATGGGTAACATTTTTTTTCAGGGGCTTATCCTGGGGCTCCTGGTGAGAACCTGAGTCTGTCGCTGACCACGGCAGCCCAGCATGGTCCCCAGTGCGTGGCCCAAGGCCAAGATTCTGTACCTCCATCCTGGAGGCAGAAGAAATGCCTGGGGGAAAATGAGAGGTTTTAGTTGGTTGGCACTGGGTGAGACCAAGGAGAGCTTTTAAAGCTGTGTGTCCTGGGGTCGGGCGCGGTGGCTCACGCCTGTAATCCCAGCACTTTGAGAGGCCGAGGCGACAGATCACGAGGTCAGGAGATCAAGACAATCCGACCATCCTGGCTAACACGGTGAAACCCCGTCTCTACTAAAAATACAAAAAATTAGCCGGGCGTGGTGGCAGGTGCCTGTAGTCCAGCTACTCGGGAGGCTGAGGCAGTAGAATGGCGTGAACCCGGCAGGCAGAGCTTGCAGTGAGCGGAGATCGCCCCACTGCACTCCAGCCTGGGCAACAGGGCGAGACTGTCTCAAAAAAAATAAAAATAAAATAAAAATAAAAATAAAAAAAGCTGTGTGTCCTTTGTTTGCTTGTTTATTCATATTTTGCAGATTTCTGATGTCAAAATATTTTCATAGTCAAGAGTATTAATAAAGAATGAATTCTCTGTTATAAAAAACCCTAATAGTGAAGGTATTTACCAAGAAGTTAGATTCTATCTTTGGTTTTTTGTTTTTTGCCCCGTAGTTAAAAAAAGATAGTTTTATTGTATGGATATTCTACAGTTAGTGTATCTTTTCACCTCTTGATGGACATTTGGGTTGCTTCCAGTTGTTTTTGCTATTTCAAATAAAGTTGCTATGAATGTTTGTCCAACCGTTTGGACATACGCTTTCATTTGTCTTGGGTAAATACGCAGGATTTGAATGACTAGGTGGTGTGATATGTTTAACTTTTAAAGAAACTGACAAAGTGTCTATACTGTTTAATATTTCCAGCAGCGGTGTATGAGCATTCCAGTTCCTTTGTGTTCTCACCAATGTTTAGTATGGTCAGTCTTTCAAATTTTAGCTATTCTAATAGGGATGTAGCAGTATCTTATTGTGGTTTTAATTTGCAGTTCTCTAATGATGAATGATGTTGAACATCTTTCAATGTGCTTATTTATCATCCATCTGTCTTCTATGGTGAAATGTCTGTTCAGATCTTTACATTTGTGTTGGACTATTTGTTTTCTTATATTGAGTCCTGAGAGTTCTTTGTATATTTTGGATAACAAATATATCTTCACCAGATATAGCTTTTGTAAATATTTACTCCTAGTCTACGACTTGTCATTTTATTCTCTTGATAGTGTTTTTCACAGGTCAGATTAATTTTTATATAAATCATTTATTTTTATTATTTAAAATTTTATATTTTTTAAATTTATTTTTAATTTCCTTTTTAAAAGGTAAATACAATTTTAAGTGAAATGATGCAAAATTTTATTTAAAATTAAAGGTATATAAAAGTGTTGATATATACTAAAAAACTGAATAAGTAAGAAGGTAGTTGGCCGTCACAGTAGGAGTGAAGTGAAAAGCTTCCCCTTTCACCCTCTGACGATTACCCGAAATGAACTGACCATACACAGATTAATAAGAGAAAGGGCATACAAACTTACTTAACCTGCATAAACATGAGAGCCATACACAAAGTATAAGACTTGAAGATGGCTCAGATCTTAAATGCTCTCCTCATAGGCAACAGATATATAGACCCACGATGCAGACATTATTTTGTAAATAATTTCCTTAGGAAGCTGGATGGGACAGACAAATTATGGGAAGGTGAGAGATAGAACTGCACAGGAAAAAATTTGTCTTTGTCACTTTAATCTTATCATTACTAGAGAATATTTATGAACATTTTAGAATAATATATTTTTAAGCCCAAACCTCACCAAATGTTTTTTCTAAAACAAATACTTTTTTTTGTTGTTTGTTTGTTTTTGATACTGTGTCTCACTCTGTCACCTAGGTATGGAGTGCAGTGGCACAACCATGGCTCGCTGCAGCCTTGACCTCCTGGGCTCAAGCGATTCTCCTACCTCAGCCTTCCAAGTAGCTGGGCTACAGGCATGCACCATCATGCCCTGGTAATAAAAAAAAAAAATTTGTTTTAGAGACTGGGTCTCATTATGTCGCCTTGGCTGGTCTTGAACTCCTGGACTCAACTGTTTCTCATGCTTTGGCTTCCCAAATGATTGGGATTATAGGTGTAAGCCACAGTCCCTGACAACATATTTCTATACTTCACTGAGGAAAGGAAGGTGCTAGGAAAATTGGTTAAGAAATATTTTTTAAAAAGCTATTAGTAGTGTTTTGTTTTATTTTATTTTATTTTTAAATGACAGATTGATTTTTGAAATGGGGGTCTCACTATGTTGCCCAGGCTAGTTTCACATTCCCAGGTTCAAGCAAATACCCCTGCCTCAGTCTCCCAAGTAGCTGGGATGGCAGGTGTGTGACTCCATACCCAGCTCTATTAGTAGTGTTTTTAAAAATTATGGGCCACTGGATAAGAATAATAATTATTTTTTTAATTAAAGATTATTTTTAAAAAAGCACATTTGTAGAAAATTACTGGCATAATCTGCCTAAATATATATATCTATATATACATATTGAAAAAAGTTTGCTCTGAACAAAAAGAAATACATTCAACACACACACACACTCACACACACACTATGGAAGATTTAGAGACCAGGCAATAATTTTCACTCAATCCAAAGACAATGCAATCCCAGAGCTGAATATTTAGGTGAAAAAATATATCAGGAAAGGGAGGCATTCAGGTTTAATTACCATGTTTTGGTAGAGTTAGGATGTGAGTTTTCATTTAAAAATATTCTTTATTAGTTTTTTCTGCTATTGTGGTTTCTGTATTGTTACTATGCAATTTATAAACTAAATAGTAAAAGAGAGAAAAGTGATTTTCAAAGAAGCTGGCTTGGGAACAGGTACTATACTGGGAAGATGAAAGGTTTCACTTAATGACTGGTACCTGTGCCACTCGGGTTATTTTGACTGTTAACCTTTTAGCAAGAGGTTTTTCTTTTAAAAGACATCCTTTAATATTTGTGAAGCTAGTGCAATAGTACACATTGAGGCCCACATACCACATGTCAAATATTTAAAAGGCATATTTCTAGCTAACCACTGTACATACATATTTTTTCTCTCTTATTTTTTTATTTTAGTTTTTTTCCTTGTCAACAACTTAATTTTATGTGCACACATATCTTCTATCATCCCACTCTGACAAATAATATTATACCTTCAAAACGATGTGGAAGGCTAGGTTGGAATTTAGAATCATAGAACCTTGTAATTATACAGGCAAGTTTCTTCCTGGGAAAAAATAAAACAGGAAGAAAAGGCCGGGGAGCCTGTGGTCCGGGCAGGAAATTCAGGGATCCCTTATAGCAGCATCTCTAGTACTTGGGAACTGAACAGACTTCTCGGCCTGTGAGGCTGGACTAGGCCCTTCTGGAGGACACAACAGAGAAGTTATCTACTGCCTTTGCTCCCAGGGCCCAGGCAACACTTTTACCCTCCATTGCTTGTTTCCGAAGTTAAGGTGAGGCTACAATGTTCTGTCTAGTGACCTCGACAGAGAAAGTGTTCTCCTGAAACCACTCATTTTTTACTTTCCTTCTTCCTGAATTGCCTGGACCCACTCCTCCTCCATTTGACTGGCTCTGTGCACTGATGTTATAGTCAGGAGATTTTTGGGAATTGTGGCTTCTAAAAATGTACACCCGACTCTACCCATAGCTGGCCCTGTGAACCTATGCACCTGCTCCACTGTGTCTGCTTCTCATAGAGACACTCTTCCTGCTGAGTCTCTGACCTCTGCTCCTAGATCCAAATGGCATCTCCTGCCCTATCCCTGTATGGCTTAACCTAGGGAAACTCTTTCCCAGAGGAGTCAGGTAAAAAGACAGTGGCTGAGCTTCTTACAGATTTAAAGGAGACATCCTGGAATTTAGGACTCCATCCTTCCTTTCTGTCCCCTGGCAGCTCCTGCTGCTTCTCAAAGTTTAGCTTTGTCTCTCATCCAGCTCAGACTGTTGCTGGTCCTGATGGCCTCTGCTTAGCTGTATTAGTATGTTCTTGCATTGCTATAAAGAAATACATGAGAAATACCTTTAGTTGGCTCATGGTTCCATAGGGTATACAGGAAGCATGGTGGTTTCTGCTTGTGGGGAGGCCTCAGGAAACTTTTACTCAAGGTGCAGTGCAAAAAAAAAAAAAAAAAAAAAAAAAAAAGCTACCAGCACCGCAATGTGGAGTCCTGATCCCTGAGCTAACTTCATAGTATTACCTCTACAGCAAGCGTCGGTGAGAAAATAGATATATTTCTTAAGTGAGTACACAATTTACAGAAGAGGAACTACCCTCCCAAACCAAAACAAAAATGTCCTAATTATAATTTGCCAGCAAACCTAGGTTCCTTCTGTGAAATGATCTCATGTGCTGAGTTTTAAAATTGACTAAATTTCCCAATTTCCAAATGAAAATATTTAGTTACCTTGTCTTACTATGTGTTTTTGGTTAATATGATGATTAATTTTTGGCCTATTACTTAATATATTCCATGACTATTGATATGGAGTATAAGGACTCACAAAGTAGTTTTCAGATGTCTTTAATTTTTTTACTTAGTGTAGATCCTATAAATGGATTAGGAGTATTCTATTAACTCCCATGTATTCAGAAATCGAATTGGAGTGGTAAATTCTATTTGAGGTAACAAGGGATATCAAAGGAAAAAAATAATTTTGTGACTATGTCTTCTATATGTAAATTTTTCATGCATCTTTACCAATGGCTTATACTAAAGACATTTTCTGGATCATGGGTGACAGACAGAAGACATGTGGTTAAGTGGCATTGTGTACACTACTGCATTTTATCATCTGGTTTATTTTTAAACATTTAATTCTCTTGAGGATGTTTTATTAACCAGTACATCACCAGGTTAACAGTCTCTGGAACACTAAACTTACCAGAAAATACTTGTTGATTGAATTAACAAGAAAACAACATTAGAAAACAGTGGTGGCTTGTTTTTGTCTATTGCAGTATCTTGGAGAGTAAAGCCTAACTCTTTAATTTTGGCCAAAGATATTAAGAAATAACCGAGAAATACCTTTAGTTGGCTCATGGTTCCATAGGCTATACAGGAAGCATGGTGGTTTCTGCTTCTGGGGAGGCCTCCAACACTTACTGGCAGGGTAATTTTGAAGAAGTCATGATAAGATGGTTGTTAACAATTAAATGAAATAATCAAAGTGGAAGAGCTTAGTTAGCTGTCTTCCCTAAATGAATCACTGGCAAGTAAGAGTGTGACTGATTTTCCTATCAGTCAGGACTCACCCCTTGAAGCTATAGGAGGGTAAACCTCTGAAGACCATAAAATTTAGGGAACACTAACACTTCAAAAAACTCTGTAAACTTCCTTCCTTCTTTTCTTCCTTCCTTCTTCTCTCTCTCTCTTTCTTCCTTTCTTTCTTTTCTTTCTTTGTTCATTTTTAAGACAGTCTTGCTCTGTCACTCAGGCTAGAGTATAGTGGCTGGATTATGGCTCACTGCCGCCTTGACCTCCTGGGCTCAAGCAATCCTCTCACCTCAGCCTCTCTAGTAGCTGGGGCTATAGGCATGCTCAGGTAATTTTTTTCCTCTTTTTTTTTTTTTTTTTGTAGAGACAGGGTCTCATCATGTTGCCCAGGCTGGTCTTGAAGTCCTTGGATCAAGCAATCCTGCTGCCTCAGCCTCCCAAAGTGCTGGATTACAAGCGTGAGCCACTGTGCCCAGCCTTAAGTTTTTTTTCATACAGGAGGAAAGAATTTGGGAAAGTAGGTGTGTGTGTGTGTTCGTTAGGGAGCCAACACATTTTTCTGCAAAGCTTGAATTCTGTGCCTCAGTTTTTCATTTTCGTTATGTGTAAAATAAAATTCTATCCTGCTATAGATTTAAACTTGTGAGCTGATCCTACTCAAAACCTGATTCAAACTTTGCATAGATCTTTGTCTCTCTATGGCATAAGAATAAATTCTTCTGGGTTTCTTCCCTCAGAAAAATGGACTTAGAATTCCCACAAGCCTTCCAGAAAGAACTCACCTGCCTCATCTGCCTGAATTACCTCATAGACCCCATCACTATAGGCTGCTGGCACAGTTTCTGTAGGCCCTGCCTCTGCCTTTGCTGGGAAGAAGCCCACACTCCTGCCCTGCATGCAGGGAACCGTCACAGCAGGAAGATTTCAAAACCGATATTCTTCTGAAGAATCTAGTGTCCATTGTGAGAAAAGCCAGTCTCTGGCAATTCCTGAGCTCTAATGAACAAATGTGCGGGATCCACAGGGAGACAAAGATGTTCTGTGATGTGGGCAAGAGCCTGCTCTGTTTTCTGTGTTCTATCTCGCAGGAACACTGGGGCACAGAAACACTGGCCCACTGAAGGGGAAGCAAAGGAACACTGTGTAAGTGATGACTCTGAGAGCACTTTGAAAGCTGGAGGGCAGCACAGGTAAAGAGATTAGGAGGAAGATGAAGAGCATGAGGATTAATCTATTCTTTATTGAGTGTCATGTACTGCCTAGGTATCAATGATATAACTGTTATCCTGCTATGAAATCTACTCATAAGTGGCTCATATAACTTATATGCATTCATCATAACGCAAGAAATCCTCTGACTGCTCCTACCATCATGGCCCTTAGCCATATGACTTCTCTCCACACTAGCAGAAACTAATTGAGCCCTATGTTATATATATATATAATTTTTATATGATTTATAAACTATATCATATAAAATATATAATATATAAATATTTATACAATATATTATATATTATATATTTTATATGATATGCTTTATATTTTATATATAATTTATATATATTAATTAATTATATATAATTAACATATGTTTTATATATTTTATAGATGTACTTTATATATTTATATATAATATATATTATATATAAATATATATTTTATATATTTATATATAACATAAAAATACATACTTTATATATTGTATGTATAATATATATTATATATAAATATATACTTTATATATTTATATATAATATATATTATATATATACACCTTATATATTTATATATATTATATATTATATATAAATATAGAAAGTGTATATTTATATAAAATATATATTATATATAAATATATACTTTCTATATTTATATATAATACATATTATATATAAATATATACTTTATATATTTATATATAATATGTATTATATATAAATATATACTTTATATACTGTATATATAATATATATACAGTATTATATATTATATATATATAATATATATATATATAATATATATATAAAAAGAGAAGGTGGGCCTTCTCTTTTTTTGGCCCTATTGTGTCAGCCTTGTTTAATATGTAGTTTACTTACAGTAAATTCTTCTCAATACGGAACTTGATCCTGGAAGAGAATTTGGTCTGGTTATTTTAAGAGTTGTAGAAGCCATATGGTCCCAGCCTCTTTTTTATCTCATCCTGGACTCTTGCTTATTGATGTGTGCAAACTCCCACCCTACTTAGTTTCCGTAGCTGTTTTTTAATTGCCTTGCCCACTTTCTAATGAATCCTTGTTGCTGACTTGGGGGTTCTCAAATCCATAATATATTGTGTTCACCCTCTCTGCTTAATCTTGAAAGGATTCTGATTCCTCATGGATATTGCAGGTCTTCCTGATTTGTCTGTCACTATTTACACTGGGGATTTTTTGTAGGGCACATTGTTACCCAGTGTTGTTGTAAATATTGTTCATGAATTTTAATTTTGTTAACCTAGTTTTTCTCTGTTTTTCTTTAGAAGTTTGGAAATAGTCTGAAAGCACACTGTACCTCTCTATATTTTCAGAATTTTTAAGGTGAAATTTTTAAAAATGTGTAAACAAGAAATGCCTCTAAACTGGATCTCAGTGTGTTTAGCAGTTTCCATGAGCTGTGTGTAACAGAAGACTGGAACAAAGAAATGTAGAAGTAGATTCTCCACAAGCATCATGGCCTTCTTCACTTTGAATGTTTGGGTATGCTGTTTCCTCTGTCTGGACATCACTTGCACTTCCAATACTTCCTTTTTGAATTAATACTTGTTATATCAAGGACAAATTTTGATTTAATTTCCTTTCAGAAACATTTTTACATTTTAAAAATTGTACTGCACTTTCTATCAATTGCCATTGCATTCAACGCTCTCTCATTATTATGTACAAATATATAGTGTGTATATATATATGTATACACGCAAACACACACACACATACATACACACATACACAGACACAATCCACAACACTATTTTAAAACATTTCTGGTATACTTGGGTCAAATTTGGGACCAAATTCTAGCAAGGTAGTAGGTCTTTATGTGCATTGCAGATAAATATCATTAATTGCATTTAAATTTATTTAATGTAATATATATTGTTACATAATATGCATTACTTAAAGGTTTTCATTGGAATTAAGTAAAGGAGAAATATGGATGATGAAAGAAACAAAGAAGAAAAAAAGGTGACAGCCTAACATTTTCTATAAATCTACTGTGAGCTAGGTACTTTATAAGCATTAAGTCTAACATTTACCTATATCTAATCTCATTGTAATTTTTTTGTTTTGTTTGGTTTTGTGAGATGGAGTCTTGCTCTGTCACTTAGGCTGGAGTGCACTGGTATAATCAGGGCTCACTGCAACCTCTGCCTCCCAGGTTCAAGCAATTATCCTGCCTCAGCCTCTTGAGTAGCTGGGATTACAGGCATGTACCACTACATCTGGATAATTTTTGTATTTTTAGTAGAGATGGGGTTTCACCATGTTGGCCAGGCTGGTCTTGAACTCCTGACCTCAAGTGATCTGGCCTACTCAGCCTCCCAAAATGCTGGGATTATAGGCATGAGGCACCACACCTGGCCTAATCTAACCATAATTTTATTTCCAGTTCATGAATGTATAGATGAGGTAACAGAGAAGCAAAGAGATCAGTATTTTAACCAATGATATTTTAGTAAAATAGCAAACTCATAAGTTTAGTTTATATTTGTCAGTATTTGTGGTTTTTAAGCCAAATAATACCATCTTTAACTCTGAGTGTCATGCTGTCAAGAATTGTACCTTTGTGGGGAGGAGCCAAGATGGCTGAATACGAACAGCTCCGGTCTACAGCTCCCAGCATGAGCGACGCAGAAGACGGTGATTTCTGCATTTCCATCTGAGGTAACGGGTTCATCTCACTAGGGAGTGCCAGACAGTGGGCGCAGGTCAGTGGGTGCGCACACCGTGCGCGAGCCAAAGCAGGGCGAGGCATTGCCTCACTTGGGAAGCGCAAGGGGTCACAGAGCTCCCTTTCCGAGTCAAAGAAAGGGGTGACGGATGGCACCTGGAAAATCGGGTCACTCCCACCCAAATACTGCGCTTTTCCGACGGGCTTAAAAAATGGCGCACCACGAGATTATATCCGGCACCTGGCTTGGAGGGTCCTACGCCCACGGAGTCTCCTGATTGCTAGCACAGCAGTCTGAGATCAAACTGCAAGGCAGCAGTTAGGCTGGGGGAGGGGCGCCCGCCATTGCCCAGGCTTGATTAGGTAAACAAAGCAGCTGGGAAGCTCGAACTGGGCGGAGCCCACCACAGCTCAAGGAGGCCTGCCTGCCTCTGTAGGCTCCACCTCTGGGGGCAGGGCACAGACAAACAAAAAGACAGCAGTAACCTCTGCAGACTTAAATGTCCCTGTCTGACAGCTTTGAAGAGAGCAGTGGTTCTCCCAGCACGCAGCTGGAGATCTGAGAACGGGCAGACTGCCTCCTCAAGTGGGTCCCTGACCCCTGACCCCCGAGCAGCCTAACTGGGAGGCACCCCCCAGCAGGGGCACACTGACACCTCAAACGGCAGGGTATTCCAACAGACCTGCAGCTGAGGGTCCTGTCTGTTAGAAGGAAAACTAACAAACAGAAAGGACATCCACACCAAAAACCCATCTGTACATCACCATCATCAAAGACCAAAAGTAGATAAAACCACAAAGATGGGAAAAAAACAGAACAGAAAAACTGGAAACTCTAAAAAGCAGAGCGCCTCTCCTCCTCCAAAGGAACGCAGTTCCTCACCAGCAACGGAACAAAGCTGGATGGAGAATGACTTTGACGAGCTGAGAGAAGAAGGCTTCAGACGATCAAATTACTGTGAGCTACGGGAGGACATTCAAACCAAAGGCAAAGAAGTTGAAAACTTTGAAAAAAATTTAGAAGAATGTATAACTAGAATAACCAATACAGAGAAGTGCTTAAAGGAGCTGATGGAGCTGAAAACCAAGGCTCGAGAACTACGTGAAGAATGCAGAAGCCTCAGGAGCCGATGCGATCAACTAGAAGAAAGGGTATCAGCGATGGAAGATGAAATGAATGAAATGAAGCGAGAAGGGAAGTTTAGAGAAAAAAGAATAAAAAGAAATGAGCAAAGCCTCCAAGAAATATGGGACTATGTGAAAAGACCAAATCTACGTCTGATTGGTGTACCTGAAAGTGATGGGAAGAATGGAACCAAGTTGGAAAACCCTCTGCAGGATATTATCCAGGAGAACTTCCCCAATCTAGCAAGGCAGGCCAACATTCAGATTTAGGAAATACAGAGAACGCCACAAAGATACTCCTCGAGAAGAGCAACTCCAAGACACATAATTGTCAGATTCACCAAAGTTGAAATGAAGGAAAAAATGTTAAGGGCAGCCAGAGAGAAAGGTCGGGTTACCCTCAAAGGGAAGCCCATCAGACTAACAGCGGATCTCTTGGCAGAAACTCTACAAGCCAGAAGAGAGTGGGGGCCAATATTCAACATTCTTAAAGAAAAGAATTTTCAACCCAGAATTTCATATCCAGCCAAACTAAGCTTCATAAGCGAAGGAGAAATAAAATACTTTACAGACAAGCAAATGCTGAGAGATTTTGTCACCACCAGGCCTGCCCTAAAAGAGCTC